>NC_000009.12:67255969-67422115 GCF_000001405.40 Homo sapiens | reverse complement strand
ATCATATTTATGTACCCCATAAATATGTACAAATATTATGCATCAATTTAAAAAGAAAATACAGTTTTGGGTAATTGAGTAAAACAATTTTTTTCAAATTTTGTTTTGGCTTAGTGAGAATTGATTAAAAGCATTCATCAAGATGTAGTGCTTATCTATTTTAATTTAGCCACACATTTACTATTATTTGGATAATTATGCTTGTGACAATTTAAGTGGTCATACCAGAACAGTCGAGAAGTGGAGAGATCTTATACCTAGTTCAATGATTTGTTTAGTTTTTTGCTTCAGAACATGTCTTTCAGATGAAATGTCACCTGCAAGTTGGATGAATAAAGCAGCCTGAAGCAGACATTCTTGGGGCAGGAAGGGTGCTGGGGCCTGGACTCTTCTACCAACCCCTACTCTCCCTGCGGCAGGTGATGTGCTGGGTCTGAGGAGCAGCTTCCTGTGGCAGTAGCCCTGGTGCACACTGTCACAGAGACAATCTCTCCCTCTCAGTGACGTGGCCGCTGCGGGGCCCAGCTGTCAGGACTCAGCCCATGGCTTGTTAAGTTTTCTTATTTAAAACGTGCTTTTTAAAATCGAGTTTAAATATAGGCTCCTTGTAATTACCTAGTTAAATAACCTGACATTAGTAATCTTGTATCCGCCAAGATACCTGACATGTTAACGTGACTTACGTCTAAAGTGCAGTGATGAAAAATGTAGTTTGTTCTGCACTTGCTCTAACATATGTGCCACTCCTGGAATATAGATACGAATTGGGAAATGGAACATTATTCATGTAATAGATATTACATTCAAGTTAAAACTGCATGCACGTAAGTAGAGTATGCACAGGCTCTAAAGGCCGGAAGCAAATAAAGAAACATAATGTTGTCAAAGAGATCTCCAGTCTTAAAAAGCAAGAAAATGATGTGGACACACCAATGAGTAAAAATACGAAACAAAATAAAATAGAGGATGGGGTTTCTTTTTACTTGGAGGAAAGGGGTGAAAGCACACAGAAGACTACAGAAAGTGAGAATGTTTATTTTTATTTTGTTTTATTTTATTTTATTTTATTTTATTTTTGAGGAGTCTTGCTCTGTCGCTCAGGCTGGAGTGCAAAGGTGCAATCTTGGCCCATTGAAACCTCCGTCTCCCAGGTTCAAGTGATTCTCCTGCTTCAGCCTCCCAAGTAGCTGGGATTACAGGCACCCTCCATGACACCCAGCTAATTTTGTATTTTTAGTAGAGATGGGGTTTCACCATCTTAGCCAGCCTGGTCTCGAACTCCTGACCTGGTGATTCACCAGACTTGGCCTCCCAAAGTGCTGGGATAACAGACGTGAGCCGCTGCGCCCGGCCGAGAATGTTTACTTTTAAAACTGAATCGGTACATTCATGCTCATTATGTTGTCATTGTATGTCGGTTGTATAGATTTTATGAATATTATTTTGTATCTATGCCTACTTGCCTCCCTTTCAGAGTTACATATGCTATGTAAACTAATAAAAATACTGCTTAAAATATTTCGGATTTGTAGAAACTACATCTGAGTATGTAAATGCAACTTCCCATGCTCCAGAATGTTTCTAAATTGGTTAGGTTTGCGCCTTTTTGCATTTTATATAAATGGAAGCATGTTGCATGTACTCTCATGCAGCCTTACTTCTTTCATGCAGTATTATGTTCCTGATTTTCATGTACATTGTTTCTCACAGCTGCAATGTATTCTTTTTCTCTACTCTATGGTATTCCATTGGGTGCATATCCATGATTTATTGATCCATTCTGTGGATAATGTACTCTGAATTATTTTTGTTCATTTGATTAGACAGATTAAAACAATATTTCAGTAAATATCTATGTATGGTGCCTTCCGATTCTACAAGTCTACTCCAAGATACAAAACTAAGAGAGGCAAATTTGAGTGGTAGAGTATGTATATTTTCTGTTATTTGAATGAAAATAATAAATATTGTATTCAAAGGTGGTTGTGGCAATGGATACTCCCTCAACAACGTGTGTCTCTAGGTTGCTCCACATCCTTGGCAAGTCTTAATGCCATCCACCTTTTCAATGTTTGCCAATCGGGTGGGTTCCTGATCAGAAAAGAAGTTAATTGTGAGATTTCATTATCAATACAATAAACCGGTGGTCACCAACCAAATCTCATAATTGAGGAGGGAGATGGTTCTAATTTCACTGAGATACAATTCATACCAACGTTCTAAAAAAAAAAAGCACATTTTGTGAATGCAAGACATTGGTAGGTTTATTGTCAGAGATCTTATAAGGGAGGACAAGAGCTGTTTCAGTTACTTGAAAGAGTCTCAGACTGTACATGGTTCATCTGTGGTTTTCTTCAATTAAGAGCATTTTGCCAGTCACATTTTGACTCAAAAAACTCTGTGGTACCCATCAAATGAGTAACATACACACATGCACACACACAGGCACACACACACTTATCCTATAAGAAAGGTACTCTACCTGTAATCCCAGCACTTTGGGAGGCTGGGGTGGGTGGATCACGAGGTCAGGAGATTGAGACCATCCTAGCTAACATGGTGAAACCCCATCTCTACTAAAAATATGAAACTTTAGCTGGGCGTGGTGGCGGGCGCCTGTAGTCCCAGCTACTCCGGAGGCTGAGGCAGGAGAATGGCATGAACCCGGGAGGTGGAGCTTGCAGTGAGCCCAGATTGCGCCACTGCACTCCAGCCTGGGCGACAGAGCAAGACTCCATCTCAAAAAAAAAAAAAAAAAAAAAAAAAAAAAAGAATGGTACTCTATTATCATTTGGGTTTGCAGAAGGTTGTTTGGCTAGACTTGAGAATCTAACAAATACTCTTGAGAGGGGCTTTGGTATAAGGACATAGAGCCTGAATTCAAAGAAAACAGCTCTGGTTCTGTCACTTGCTAGCTTTGTGACTTTGTGAAATTATTTTCTCTATATATCTCAGGTTCTATCTTATTAAAGTAGAGATACCTTTGCTTACCATGAAGGGTTCCTGGACAATTGCAGAAGATATAAATGTGAACGCTTAACATAGTGATAGACTTAATAAACCGTGTTATTGCTATTATGTGAGGGCTTAAAGTAAAAGTTGCAGGCACAAGAAAACATCCCCAAAGCACTGAATCATGAATGTGAAAATAGGAAACTAGTCCGGAGATTACTAGAAATGACTGATTTCAGGCCAGTGACTTTCTACCATATTAGGCCTCATGACCTTTGGTTATTCAGGTTTGCAGGCTTCCATTTGACCTTGTAAGTTTCCAAAAGCAGAAGTAGTCTTGGCTTCTCTTTCTGGCAACTGGCATAACTTTCCTAAGAGACAATTTTATTTGAGGAAAGAAAAGAACTCTTATCTGAGAAATGCAAGTCCTTTTAATTATCAGGCCCAAAGAGAGATTAAAATGAGGCAGCAGTCACGTCCTCCTCCCTGCTTTGAGCTCTGTATTCCTCTCTTGGAACTGCTTGCTTTTGCCACCAGCAGCTGTAAATTAACTTAATAATGCCACACCCTACAGCTTAAGGATGTATAGCGAATCATTAATCAATGTTATTTCTGTAAAGCAGTAAGGATTCCTGACAAACCAGTTTGTATCAGCCCACTCCCTGTCCCCCATTTTTTGTCTTTATAAACCTACTTGTAACTGCTGCTAAATGGAATGTATATGGTGGCAACTTCAATCTTATGCTCCTGGGTTGCAATCTTAAGCTTGGCCCAAATAAACTCCATTGATACTAATTTTGCCTCAGCTTCCTCCTTCTAGGTCAACACATTTCTTGCTCTGAGCCACTCTCAAGGTGTTTTATTTTTTATTTCATTTTACTTTTTTTTGGAGACAGAGTCTCGCTGTATCCCCCAGGCTGGAGTTCAGTGGCACCATCTTGGCTCACTGCAACCTCTACCTCCAGGGTTCAAGCAATTCTCCTGCCTCAGCCTCCCAAGTAGCTGGGTTTACTGGCTCCTACCAATATGCCCAGCTAACTTTTGTATTTTTAGTAGAGGCGGGGTTTCGCCATGTTGGCCAGGCTGGTCTTCAACTCCTGACCTCAGGTGATCCACCCACCTTGGCCTCCCAAAGTGCTAGGATTACAGGTGTGAGCCACGGCGCCTGGCCATCTCAAGGTGTTTTAAAACTTAGGTTTCATTGCTATGCAGGTATAGTGAGGCCAAAAGATCAGGAGATGAAGGCACTTCAAAAGACAGCTTGTTACTCACAGTTGAGGGGGTGGTTACTCACAGTTATGGTTGGGGGAGTGGGGTAGAGGAACTCCATGCCACACAGGGCCACCTGGGGAAGCACCAGGTTGGTCGGGAGGCAGAGGGAGCAGGAAGAAAATGTGGGCTCTTGGGCTCTAGCCTGTATTGTGATTTCTGTGGGAAAGAATGAGTGAGGCAAGGTAAGCAGATTTAGCATTGGCTATTTGAATAATTTCGCTGGGCCCTGGGGTATAGAGGCTGTCCAGAGTTGTCTGGTTCCTGTCTCTCAGATGACTTGGGGCAGAGGAATATTGATTGGATGTCTGCGCGTGATAAAAGAAAGAGTTGAGGGCTCTGGGCTGTGGGTCGTCTGGTTTGCATATGAAAGGCGTGCTTCTGGGCCATGTTTGCTATTTCTAGGAGTGAGCTTTACCCTCTACAGTCAGTGAGGGCCAAATGCCAGAGCACCAAGAATATAGAAATAAGAAACTACAATTAATACACAAGGTACCAATGTAATATTGGGTTTTCATTGCATAACCCATTTATTCATTTATTTACTCTCACCGATTATTCTTTCTTTTCTCCAGTTATCAGTTAGTTTTATTTTTTTTTTATTTTTTATTTTGAGACAGAGTCTCACTATGTCACGCAGGCTGGAGTGCAGTGGCTCCATCTCGGCTCACTGCAACCTCTACCTCCCGGGTTCAAGCAATTCTCCTGCCTCAGGCTCCCGAGTAGCTGGGACTACAGGCACCCGACACCATGCCTGGCTAATTTTTGTACTTTTAGTAGAGACGGGGTTTCACCGTGTTAGCCAGGATGGTCTCGATACCCTGACCTCGTGATCTGCCTTGCCTTGGCCTCCCAAACTGCTGGGATTACAGGCATGAGCCACCACGCCCAGCCAGTTAGTTTTAATTTTCTACCTTCGGAAGGGATGTTAGGTGAGGCCCCCGTGCTGGTTCAGATTGCCAGAAGCAACACTAGTGTAGCAAGTGCCTCTCCGTCCATTCCCATGCCCATGGGGCAGGGTTACATAGGTACAGAACCAGTGGGCTGTCTCGACCACTAGGCAGTACAGCAGCATTCCCTGTCAATTCCAGCCTTGTCAGACAGGGTGAAGGTAAAATCTGCTTTACCAGTTTCTTAGAAATTGTGACATCAAAGTTTAAAAGTATAGTTACAGATTCTTGTTTCAGGGGCATTCCTGTTTGTGGCACCTGCAGTTGCAGCCATTGTCCCAGAACACGGCATCAGGTAGGAAAAAGGAAAGGTGAAGTGATGTGGGGAATAATTTAAAAAGCACTGTTGAACTGGTATCTTCTCACTGTGGGAAACATTGTATAGCCATACCAGCCTCCTCACCTACCTCCCCTTCTCCAGGTCCCCCAGAAAGGAGACGAATCGCGCAAGGGGAGATGTGCCCTTGGTACCCCTCATGTTCAGTGTGACCACACACTCAGAGGCATACGAGTTAGCTCTTCATGCTTTTCTGTCTCCTGGTGTTAAGTAACCCATGTTTCAACTGCCCATCCCAATTCTCTATGAACTTATTACTCTGAGAATAATAGCTCTATAAAATGTGTTCCATAGGCTGAAGAAATGTGACTCAATGGCTCAAATCAGTGAATTTATTAAGTTATAATAAATAAAAGTGTATGACTAACATGTTGAAAGAAATGTTAATGACTTCACTGAAAAAGACCCACATAAATGATGGCAACAGACTTAGATCTTGCCACATATTTTATTTAATGTTTTATCTGCCAGCACACACAGCTACAGATAAAACTTGGATGCAGTAAGATATAACGTCATGAAATCGTATGAAAAGGAAGACAGAAATTAGTCACATAAATGATACTCAACAATGGGTTGTATGATTAACTGGTTTAGAGTGGGTCTTAGGACTTTCAAAAAGAGTTGAAAAATAGGTAGAAAACTGAAGGAAAAAATGTAAATATATTTTGTGGGCAAAGCTATCGAGGTCGTAGGATTAAAGAAGATGGGGCTGGCCGGGGGCAGTGGCTCACGCCTGTAATCCCAGCTCTTTGGGAGGCCGAGGCGGGTGGATCACGAGGTCAGGAGATCGAGACCATCCTGGCTAACACGGTGAAACCCCGTCTCTACTAAAAATACAAAAATAAAATTAGCCGGGCATGGTGGCGGGCGCCTGTAGTCCCAGCTACTCCGGAGGCTGAGGCGGGAGAATGGTGTGAACCCAGGAGGCGGAGCTTGCAGTGAGCCGAGATCGCGCCACCGCACTCCAGCCAGCCTGGGCGACAGAGTGAGACTCCGTCTCAAAAAAAAGAAGAAGATGAGGCTGAACTGCCAAATACAATTATGTTGTGTTCCTTTTTCTAGGAAGTCTGTGGACAGTGATTTTTAAGTTAAACCAACAACACTGTGATTAATAATAATTGTCAGCAAGATCTTTTCTGCAGCATCATTGTATCTGATCTCTTCTCAATAAAAAAATTGTTTCCTACATCAGTTTCTCTTTATTTCTCCCTATCCTTCAGAGTGAAAATTTCTTCTTCCTCTCTTTCCAAGACAAGTCCTGCCACCGGAGCAATGTCACACTTTCTCCTCTCAGAATAATTTGTGATTTTTCAAATATTTATGGAATACCTACTATGGAGGTTTGTCACGTGCTGGGCACTGTGATAGGCACCTATGGATGGGATTCTGTGCTGCAAAGTAATGTACAGGATGTAGAGGGGAGAAAATCATTTACGTAAATAGCTGTAACCCAGAACAGAAAGGGGCAGCTGACATAAAGACACACAGAATGTGCGGGTTATAAGTGCCTGTTTATGGGGGCAGTTGCAGGAGCTGAGGTTTGATTATGGGCAAGATATGGACAAAGGCATGTTCTATGGCCATGCCATGAAAACAAAGGGGCAGAGGCGTGCATACAAATCTGGAGGCAGCTGCTCCAACTCCTAAATAGTGTAACCGAACAGCCCTGCCTGAAAAAGCACTTTAAAACTTCTTTCTCCTTTTTCCTTTCTTCCCAGTCTCAAGTTGAAACCTTGAAACAATCTCTAGAAATGTTTTTCCTTAGTCTTAAAATATAGCCTTGAAAGATACTTTGAAACCCTACTTCCTTCCGTTTCTCACCATGTTTTCCTTTACCCCAGGTGCATTTATCTAGCTGTATGCTTGTATACCCCACACACATTTATCTAGTTTATTTAAGCACGTAACGTATCTAATTATGTTCTTATTTAGAAGTTCCAGGGCCTAACGTTACGACAGACCAAGCGGCAGGGCGCCGTAGCTCATGCCTGTAATCCCAGCACTTTGGGAGGCCGAGGTGGGTGGATCACGAGGTCAGGAGATCGAGATCATCCTGGCTAACACGGTGAAACCCCGTTTCTACTAAAAATACAAAAAATTAGCCGGGCGTGGTGGCGGGCGCCTGTAGTCCCAGCTACTGGGGAGGCTGAGGCAGGAGAATGGCGTGAACCCGGGAGGCGGAGCTTGCAGTGAGCCGAGATCGCGCCACTGCACTCCAGCCTGGGCGACAGAGCAAGACTCCGTCTCAGAAAAAAAAAAAAAAAAAAAGACAGACCAAGCATGGAGACTCCGCTGCAAAATCCCAGTGATGACCTCAAGGTGGCTGTCAACAACTCGTCAATTGTTGAGATGACAGCAACCTGCCCTTCAAGTGGACCACAGCTTGAAATAGGCACCAGAACAAGACAGCAGACCTTGTGCAATGCACTCTCCCACGGGCCTCCCATTCCAATTTCCCCTTTTTAAGCCTTTCTCCCCAGCCTAAAGTTTTAAGAGGTTTCTGGAGGCGTAAGGTAAGCAGCCTGCTTCCCTGCTGCTAGCTTTGGAAACAAAGTAACTTTCCTTTCACTACAGACTTCCTCCTTGTTACTGACTTTGCAAGCTGTGGGCAGCTGAGTCTGCACTGGGTTACATCGGGGCGGGGGGGGTGGGGGGGTGGTGTGTGTGTGGGTGTGTGTGTCTCGTGTGTGTGTGTGTGTGTGTGTGTGTCTGAAACCAGTGTTTCTCAGCTTGATCATCAGGGTTGCTAAAAAATATTTGGTAGGAATGAAGTAGACTTTTAAAAGATGAAAGCATATATTAACTTAGATGCATCTTGTTTACCTCGATATCTTAACACCTCTCATGGTGCCCAGCATACAATAGGTTCTCAGCAAATGTATACAGAGAGTACATGGATGGATGGATGGGTGGATGGATGAATACAGAATTGAATAACTTAATATTCTTTTCACTAGATACATTTTTTAACAAAATACTTTCTCCTTTTACATAGGATTCTATTTATGTTTAATGAACAAAAAAATTAGTTTCAATGAAAACTTTATTTGAAATGATGAATTCAAGCTATTACCAGCCTCCCAAGTAAGATGCCAGAGACTTCAAACACTGCTGTTGTTTCTCAAGGAAAAGATCCAGTTAACAAGGAATCATTCTCTCTTCTTCAATAGCTGCTTACGGTAAATAAAATATCTTCCTCCTTTTAATATTTTACATAAGAGAACATTTTAAAATTGTATTAAAAAAAAAACATGAGAAAGAATGATAGCCTTAAGTGAGTTAAGTGAGTTTTCTCACTGCGCTTATAGCCCTTCCCAATTTTGTGTTCTGTATATTTAGGATGGCTGGTGGGTGGGAAGGCCAGGAGCCAGAGGTGTACCACAGCTGCTGTGCCTGCCAAAGAACAAGCAGGTGTTCTGGTTTTTTGTTCGTATTCTTTAAGGTCAGTGAACTGGCTGGTTTCCATTTCTCATCTTAGCCTACGTCGTTCTTAAAGGTTCTGTCTCACAAGGAAATTGTTCAAGAGCTTAACCAAGCAAGTGTGGCTATCGCAAGTGAAATGGAGAAATAGACCAGCATCCCTCATGAGCCAGGCTCAGTCCTCATTTTTACCATCAAATATTGACATTATGAATGTTATTGTTTCTCTATAAAGCATCTGCACAAATTCCATGTTTTAATATATTAGTTCGGTGTTTCTCATTATTTGGAAATCAGGCCTTTTTTGATAAGCATGTCAGAAAATAGCAGAATCAGAAACAATATCAGATATATCAAGAGCAGGAGAGTGACAATGGGCAGAGCTTCTTTCCAGGCTTTGGGAGTAGTTGACAATAGGCTAGCTGAAAGATTAAAAAAGAAAGTTAATGATGGGTCACCTTAAGGGAGCTGGTAAACTAGTTGTGAGGTAAAATAAAGAGGTCTGGGACCAGAGAAATAGCAGAAAGAATGGGACTGATCTAGGATAGAAGTAAAATCTAAATTAAAAGAAAAAACAAATTACGGCTCTGATTCCTTCTCTGGGGAGACTTCAATGTGTGCTTGTCAAAGTGAGTTTTTTTTTTTTTTCTGTTATAGATAGTTAAAAGTGCAGGGGAAAAGAGGTATCTTTTCCTCAGCCATTGCTAGGTTCATGGCTGAGGCCCCTATAACAAAAGACAAATTGACAAGAGAAAAGCATAAAACCTACTAATAAGTTTTACATGACATGACTTCATGAAAAATAAAGAACTAAAGAAGTAGAAAACCTGTGTATTGACCTGGCGCGGTGGCTCATGCTTGTAATCCCAGCACTTTGGGAGGCCGAGGTGGGCAGATCACAAGGTCAGGAGATCCAGACCATCCTGGCTAACACGGTGAAACCCTGTCTCTACTAAAAATACAAAAAATTAGCCGGGCGTGGTGGCGGGCGCCTGTAGTCCCAGCTACTCGGGAGGCTGAGGCAGGAGAATGGGCATGAACCCGGGAGGCGGAGCTTGCAGTGAGCCGAGATCGCGCCACTGCTCTCCAGCCTGGGTGACTGAGCAAGACTCCATCCCATAAACAAACAAACAAACAAACAAAAAAAAACGTGTATTTCTTATGCTACATTTGATGTACAGTCATGAAGAAATATAACTGGACAAGGTGGGTAGACCTCATGGTAACACACTGAAGGAAACTTAGCAAGGCTTTTGTGCAGGTTCTTCTCTGTGTCCCTGTGTCTTCGGAGATAAGGATGCTCCTTTCCTCTGGGTATAGGGAGAACCTCTCAAATAAGAGTCCTATGACCTGCTTCAGGAGAAGGTCAGAAAATCCATCCTAGGTTTTAGGACATGCTTTTAGGAAGGAGGATCAGGGACAGTCATAGAGTGATATTTCTTCTTCAGTTTCCTCAAATGTCAAGGTACCATATTTTATGGTAACATAACTGAACCCAATTAAAAGAAATTAGCATGTTACTTTTTGAGGGGGAAGGCTCTGACTGAGCTAACATGTTATGGGTTTTGTAGGGGTGAAAAAGCAATACCTTTTCCTCACCCATCACAAGGGTCATGGCTGACACCTTGATAACAAAAGACAGATTAACAAGAGAAAAGCATAAAAATTTATTTAACTGAAGTTTTGCATGGCACAGGAGGTTTCAGAAATGAAGATCTAGAGAAAAGCGTGTACTTGTATGCTTAGGTTTGATATAGAATAAACAGTCATGTAGAACTATGATTGGATGAAAGGGTGTGACGTAATGGTAATAAACTGGGGGGAACTTAGAAAGGTCTCTTGTTCAGATTCTCCTTGGCCTTTCTGAGTAGCATTCCTTCCCCCTGGGAATGGGGCAGGGCTCCTATGGAGTGAGGGTCTTACAACTTAATTTCAGGTGAGGAAGGTCAGAGAAATCGTTTATAACTATGTTTTACACAGAAAGGTGGGAGGAGGTCAGAGTGACTTTCTTGTTCTGCAGTTTCCTCGATTGCCAAGGCACCATATTTGGAGGTATCATGTTCTGGTCCCCAGCAAGTTATATGGGGTACTGTGCATTTGTTGCCCCTACATAGTTTTCAATATATGCTAATTCATGGGTGCGGCAGAGCATAGACCGTACATGCTCTGTTTCTGGGAACCTGTTGCTCAATCTCTAAAGTTGGCTCATTCATCTTGCATGTAAAATGAGAATATAAATCTCATTTAAAAAAAAAGTCTCGAGCTAAGAGATGATTCACGCATAAGATTCAGCACACTGTCTGGCACAGAGTAAGTGCTTTCCAAAATGAACATTATGTTAGATATAATTTCCAAAACACACACTCTTGTGTATTAAGTCATTGGCAAACATACCCAAGCTTCTTGGCTCACTGATATGATGGACTCTGCGATTCACATCCTGAGAAGGGTGTGGGCATCACATGCACAATGCGGCTCATCACAGAGGATTTTTCCAGAACATAAATGCTACACATCCCTCCCTATGAGAAGATTCACATTTCTTTCTTTTGAATGAGAGGAGAAATTCTACACAATAGAAATAGTAATTTGAATGAGAGAATATACCTTTGAATTCACAATTCAGGCAGACTGTATTCTTTGTCTTCTTGAAGACAAGAATAGTTCTTAATTTTTTTTTCTCAATTTTGAAGAGCATGAAGTTTAGGAAAAAAATATGTGTAAGTGGTCGTTGACAAGTGTTCTAACCCTCTTAAGATATTATTCATTGCCAAAATGGAAAGCGTTTAAGTGAATATCCTTCCCAAGGATTCTGAAATGCCCCCTGAGAAGAGGGCAACAATTGTTTTGGGGCTCTTTCTGTAAAGGGGAGTATGTGACAACAAGGAGGCTGGTCCTGTGTGCTTCCTATGGTGGCATGAGCATATGCATTCTCTAAAATATAATCATAGGTGTATATACACGTATATATGCATGTGTGTATTGTGTGTGTGTATTTCTCTACATATTCTTTTAAATATTGTTCTCAACTATATATAATATTCTATAATCCATTGTGGACCTCTACAAATAATCAGTTAAAGTGTTGCTTAATAGCTACATGATCACAAAGGTCAGAAACCCAGTCAGGACCAAATCATGTAGAGTCTTAGAGGCCACCACTAGGAATTTGTATGTCATTCAAAGTGGCCGGGGAGCATTTCAAGAGCTTTGAAGCATGGGAGTGATATGATCTGATTTACATTTTCAAAAGATCACTCTCGATGTTTGTAGGCGGAGTTGGGGGATATAAACTCCTCAGGGGGCCACTACATCCCACTACAGACGATGCTGGCTCAGAGCCCAGAGTCTGGTTTAGAGCTGGTGAGACATGGATTGTATTCAGAAGGTAGAACAGCTGTGAGGACCAGGAGAGAGGAAAGAGAAACAATGATAAGTTTCTGGCTTGAGGATTTGAGTAGATGGCCATTTCATTAACTGAGATAGAAAAGACAGGAGGATGAGCAGTCGGGGTTGGATCTGACTGGCTTTGCATTTCTGTGGGGCTGTTGGGGAGGGAACAACAGTGTCACCAGTGCTCTCTACCCACCTGTCACTCAAGGTGGCTGAGACGTCTTCTTGAACTTAATTTAGGCTCCTGCCTTTGTGCTTCTTGGGGTTAAATGTGTAGAAGCCCTTCGAACGTATTAAAAGGACGGTGCAAAGATTAGACAGGGCCTCTTTGGAGGCCCTGCCTGACTTGCATTAGCTTTGATTAGGCTGTGTTCATTGCCAAAGCTTGTGGCCACATGCTTATTATTCTGCATTTACTGAGGAAATAAGAACATGACAAGACGTTCTGAAGTCTCCGATGACTCCAGTTAAGGTTCTTTGAAATGCACGTGCTCTACTTTCTCTCCCGCTACCTGATGACTTTTTTCACAGTAGGCTGGAGAATAAGTTGGAAGAAGGCTTGGTCCCCTTGGCTTGGTGAGATCATGGTAAGCAGCAACTCTGACTGTTTGATGCTACACTGTGAAGAGCAGAACCTGAATTTTCAAAATGGAAAAGTTGCAGCAATTAAAAATTGTGCTGACAAGTTTTGTTTTTACAACAGTTGTCAGGGCTAGTGTTGATAAGGAAAACAATGACAGGATGAGTTGTGAATCTGCGCAGTGCTTTACTAGTGTTCAGGTGAGAGAGCTCCGTGGTCAAGGGAACTTTTAAGTTACAATATTTTCTTTATGGTTTCTAGCTTTCAGTATTATATCTACAAAGTCCACATGTAAGCCACAAGGATTTTTTTTTTTACTTTTACCTAGCTCTTTTATGTTTTAATTTTCACATTAATTCTTATGTGCTTCCAGGATTGGTTTTGAGGTGAGTTGTGACACAGGAGTCCAAACATAATGTTTTTTCTAAGTGGCCAGCAAATTATTTCAACACACAGTGTCTCCCTACGTTGTAAGTAGGTCCTGTGGGGCAGGAGCAATCTGTCATTTTCTTAGGGCCTAGCACAGCATGAAGTCTCAGATATTTGTTCGGTGAATGCCTGAATGAATCCGTGGAAGAGCTTCTTCCTCCTAGCACCTCATGGCTGCGTATGAACACTTATGACTTATAAATGCAAAGGTATACAGTAGCCTGGCAATTGACTCCCAGTTTAAAAAATAAGGCCAGAGGCAGTGGCTCATGCCTGTAATCCCAGCACTTTGGGAGGCTGAGGCAGGTAGATTGCCTGAGCTCAGGAGTTCGAGACCAGCCTAGGCAACATGGTGAAACCCTGTCTGTACTAAAAATACTAAATAAAAAAAATTAGCTGGGCATAGTGGCGGGTACTTGTAATCCCAGCTATCGGTTTCACTCGTGTCCACGTGAGGAGACCACCAAACAAGCTTTGTGTGAGCAACAAGGCTGTTTATTTCACCTGGGTGCAGGCGGGCTGAGTCCAAAAAGAGAGTCAGCGAAGGGAGATAGGAGTGGGGCCATTTTATAGGATTTAGGTAGGTAAAGGAAAATTACAGTCAAGAGGGGGTTGCTCTCTGGCGGGCAGAGGCAGGGGTCACAAGGTGCTCAGTGCGGGAGCTTTTGAGCCAGGATGAGCCAGGAGAAGGAATTTCACAAGGTAATGTCATCAGTTAAGGCAGGAACAGGCCATTTTCACTTCTTTTGTGATTCTTCAGTTACTTCAGGCCATCTGGATGTATATGTGCAGGTCACAGGGGATATGATGGCTTAGCTTGCGCTCAGAGGCCTGACACTCAGGAGGTTGACAGGAGAATCACTTGAACCCAGGAAGCAGAGGTTGCAGAGTGTGGAGATCGTGCCCTTGCACTCCAGCCTGGGCGACAGAGCAAGACTCCATCTCAAAAAAGAACAATATAATAAAAAATAAATCCCAGAATTATGTAAAGTGCTGATTTAAAAGGGTATTGTTTTACCATAGTCTCTAGGGCTCCTAGGATTTTTAAAGTGAAAATATAATCTAGAGTGACACAAAATTATTCTAAACTAAGTGAGAGACAGCATGGTGTTGTGAAAATATTTAAAATCATCAAACTGCATGTCTGTCATTTACTTCCTATGTGATCTTGATTTATTCATTATAATCAGTTTTCTTGTCTCTGCAGTGAGAGTAACAGCACCCACTTTTCAGAGTAGCTCTGAGTTTCAATGAGTTAACATCTGTAATTTACCTGAACGGTGCCTAGCAGGGAACAGACACTAAATTAATGTTTTTTCTTCTTCAACTCCTCCCTAAAGCCACATTCTAAAAATATATCCTTTCTTTCACGACTTGACAGCTTGAAACTCAAAAAAAAAAAAAAAAAAAAAAAAAAGATTGTATATCTTGTGTGAGTACTGATATGTGGGCAATTTTCCATCATCAGAGTGTGGAGTACTTTTTAAGACTGTCTTTTAATGAATCAGATACACTGATTACAAAAGGACTGGTTGATTGCAATCCAGTTATTTTCCATGAGTAACTTCAATAATACAACAAACACGTACACTTTTTTTTATTTTTTTGAGACAGAGTCTTGCTCTGTCACCCAGGCTGGAGTGCAGTGGCGTGATCTTGGCTCACTGTAAGCTAAGCTCCAATTCCCAGGTTCATGCCATTCTCCTGCCTCAGCCTCCCAAGCAGCTGGGAATACAGGCGACCACCACCACGCCCGGCTAATTTTTTGTATTTTTAGTACAGATGGGGTTTCACCATGTTAGCCAGGATGGTCTCAATCTCCTAACCTCATGATCCGCCCGCCTTGGCCTCCCAGAGTGCTGGGATTACAGGCGTGAGCCACCGCACCCAACCACAAGTACACTATTAACGAGCTAATGATGAGCTCTGCGTCAGGGCCAGGACTGAGGTGAGCAACTGCCTCATTTGCCTCGTGTGCAAAACTGAGAAGTCACCAAAAAATTCAGTCATTAAGATAAATAGTTAACATAATATTAAAATATCAAAATGAATGCAAAAAATTCATTATGAGCAAAATACCAACATTTCAAATGAAGACAAGCTCTGACAAGGCCAGGCTAGTGAGGAACTGATGCTCTCAGGTACCATGCTAAGCACTGCAGTGTATGCTAGATTAAAGCAGATGACATTGCTTTTTTTATTTAAATATTTTTATTTAAAAATGGTCACATATCTGCAATTTTATATTTTTCAACCTAAATATTTCCTTATTTAAACATATTTAATCTCTGCAGAAACCCTTCGTCTCAGGGATCATTTCATCATAAGACAGTAACTCCTTTAAACTAACTTCTAGTAAAAAATGAAGTAAACTTATAAACATATAGGAGACAGCTGACTATCAGCCTCTTAAGTGTTTGGAACAGAGGACTGAGGCCCAGGAGCTGAGGTTTCTCATCTCAGCATCTCTCCAAGTGGCCACCCCTTTTTCTTAGTGTCTCTGCAAAGAGGCTTTTCTGATTACTCCTTTGTATGAGTCTCCATCATGATGGCTCCTAAAGGGCAGCCTTGGTTCCAGGAGTCTTTTTCCAGGGCCTACTTCAGCATCTCCCATTGAATAACCCATTTGTGGTGTCTCAGGTCAATTCCTGGAAAGGCAATGTGAGAGGCCAAGGCTACAAGGTGCCTCAATTCCTCCTGGTCAGGGTCCACTTTGGTTCTTCGGTACAGGAATGGGGGCTTCATGTTTAAAAAAAGAAAACCAGGACACAGGCCTGAATTGTCTAACGTCAATCAATAGGAAATCGGGAAGAAATGAGCTTGGTCAGACAGCTGGGTAGATAGGGACTGGAACTCATTCTCATCTTATATTTAAGGAAAGAGAAAAGCAGAGTTCAGTAGCTTGCTGAAGTCACGGAGAAAAAATGGATTTGGGATGTGATGGGAGTCTAGTTTCTGTGTGACCTTCAGTGAGTTAATTAATAGTCTGACATCTTTGTAAACCAAAAATAAAATTCTTAGCCTCCAACCGACTAAAATGGACCCCTCTGTTAGCCAAGGGGGCCCAAAGAAACCTGAAAAGCTAGGTCAGGCCAGGACAGGAGGAGTTCAGGCACAAGCCACCAATATTAACACTGAAACAGAGATCATAACACTGACAAAACACAACCTTTGTAACAAGATACCACATTTCAACCCAACTCTAGTATAATATTACATGACAGATAAAGAAGGAAATCAAAATATTTTATCCCAAAATATGTCTCTTTGCCATATTTTGAAATGGCCCTGCAGAGCCATCTTTTGTGGGGCAAGATTTGCATCTATAAAGAATCTCCAGCTGGGCACAGTGGCTCAGGCCTGTAATCCCAACACTTTGGAAGGCTGAGGTGGGTGGATCACTTGAGGCCGGGAGTTCGAGGCCAGCCTGGCCAACATGGTGAAACCCTGTCTCTACTAAAAATACAGAAATTAGCCTGGCATGGTGGTGCCCCAGCTACTTGGGAGGTTGATGTGGGAGAATTGCTTGAACCCAGGAGGCAGAGGTTGCAGTGAGTCGAGATCACGCCACCGCACTCCACCCTGGACAACAGAGTGAGACCCTGTCTCAGAAAAAAAAAAAAGAACATCTATTAACATAGCTAGATCTTTCCCCTCCCAGGCCTTCCCAATCCTGAAGAGATTAACTGAGGGTCTAGCACCTTTTAAAGATCTGAATAGGAAATATTTACCATCTATTTTTCTCTAAGGGTGGCCACCTATTAGACCTCATCTACATAAGAAGAACCTTAGTCTCCACAACCCCTTATCTTAATCCAGACACTCCTTTCTATTGATTCTAAACCTTTGGATGGTAACTTAACCCTTTCAACCAATTGCCAATCAGAAAAACCTTTGAATCCACCTATGACCTGTAAGCCCCAACCACCTCCCACCCCCACCGCCACTTTGAGTTGTCCCGCCTTTCTGGACCGAACCAATGTATAACTTACATGTATTGATTGATGTCTTATGTCTTCCTAAATAATAAAACCAAGCTGTAGCCCGACTCCCTTGGGCACATGTTCTCAGGAGCTCTTGAGACTGTGCCTTGAGCCATGGTCACTCATATTTGGCCCAGAATTGCTGAGACCGGCTCGGTCAGGGAGACCCTAACCCAGCTGAGCTAGAGGAATTAAAGACACACACACAGAAATATAGAGGTGGGAAATCAGGGGTCTCACAGCCTTCAGAGCTGAGAGCCCCGAACAGAGATTTACCCACGTATTTATTAACATCAAGCCAGTCATTAGCATTGTTTCTACAGATATTAAATTAACTAAAAGAATCCCTTATGGGAAAGGAAGGGATGGGCCGAATTAAAGGAAGAGGTTGGGCTAGTTAACTGCAGCAGGAGCATGTCCTTAAGGCACAGATCGCTCATGCTATTGTTTGTGGCTTAAGAATGCCTTTAAGTGGTTTTCTGCCCTGGGCGGGGCAAGTGTTCCTTGCCCTCATTCCCATAAACCCACAACCTTCCAGCATGGGCATTATGGCCATCATGAACATGTCACGGTGCTGCAGAGATCCTGTTTATGGCCAGTTTTGGGGCCAGTTTATGACCAGATTTTGGGGGGCTTGTTCCCAACACAAAATAAACTTCTTTAAATATTCTACAGAGTTTGGCTTTTTTCACCAACACCTCCATTTTCCTATAAAATGTGATAAAAATACTTCTTGAACCCCATGTATATGGAGAATAGATTTTTCAACAAAAGCACCAAAGCAGTCCAGTGGAGAAAGGAGAGCCGTGTGACAAATGGTACTGGGACTTTTAGATATACAAAAAAAAATGAACTTTGGTCCTTACCTTGCATTATATGTAAACATGAACTCAGAATGGTTCATAGACCTAAATGTAAAAGTTAAAACTATAAAACTTCTAGAATGAAACAGAAGCAAGTCTCTGTGACCTCGGGTTAGTCAAATATTTCTTGGCTAAGGCAACGAAAGCACAATCTGTAAAATAACAAATTAATAAATTGGATTTCAAAAGACACCGAAACAAAAATGAAAAGCCTTGCTACTGACTTGGAGAAAACATTTGCAAATCCCATACCCAGATGTATTTTCTGTGCCCAGTTAGTGATTTTATAAAGGGATACCAAGGCAGCATGGCCCAGTGGCTGAGACAATTCTGAAGCCAGACACCTGGGATTTGATCCCTGCCCTGCCACTTACCACTTATTAAGCACGTGACTTGAAGAAAGTCTCCTAATCTCTATGGCTTTCCTTTTCCCATTTAAAAATGGATAAAATAGTAATATCTAAACCTCTTCATTGGTTTCTATAAAGGTGAATTAATATTCTAAAGTGCATAGATCAATGTCTAGCACATAGTAGCCAAGACAGGTTTGTTAAATACATAAAACCAAGCAGGAGGAAGCCTGTCCCTACCATCCTCCTAGTGCTGGTACATTTTTCTCACCTTTCTTAATCTTGGGGGAGAATTGATTTTCTCATTCTGTCTTATTTAACATTTGAGCTCAATGTCTAACCTATAACTTTATATATGATTTATTTCCGTATACTTCTCATTTTATTTTTAAAAAACCCTATGATTTGATTTCAAAAGAAGTAAAAACAAATTAAATCTTGTTGACCTAAAACTTGCTTCTGCAACATCCCCACTGGGAATGATAATATAAATGCTTGTGCCTTGAGATGAGAATGTCATTGTTTGTTCCTTACTGTTGTATAGCCTGAAGATTAAATAAGTAAAATAAAAGTGGAATTAAGAAATATATCTTGTCTACTAGTCAAAGCAGTTCAGAAACTGTATTTCACTGTTACATCTAGATAGTTGAATTGTGTGCCTTTAAGCTATGAAATTTGGTTAAATTAACTTTAATGAAAAAAATCGGAATGCAATTCCATTTTTATGTTCTTCTTTAAATATGGTAAAATGTATTAATACAGCATTGAGATAACTTTGACCTATTAGAATGCAAATGACTCTAGATTGATCTAATGCCTCACATTTAGGGCTGGTTTTAAAGGTCTCTATGATTCCCATTTACAAATGAAACTTATTAATATGAGTTATAGATTCTTTTCCATTGTGTGCCAAGCAAGGAGAGAATCAAGCTTATTTGAATCATGCAGGCACATAGACTTTGGAATGATTAGGAGACCATGGCAAAAATTGTGAGTAATACATGTAGAGAAGTTTAAA
This sequence comes from Homo sapiens, assembly GCF_000001405.40. Classification (NCBI taxonomy): domain Eukaryota; kingdom Metazoa; phylum Chordata; class Mammalia; order Primates; family Hominidae; genus Homo; species Homo sapiens. Next base: position 67,402,568 of record NC_000009.12, on the reverse strand, counting down.
CTTTTCCTCTGGAGGTGTGATAACTGAGTTATCCTGCCAAAATACATTGACAATAGATAGATTAACAGGAGAAAAACACACACAGATTTGCTAATATGTACATGAAAATGCGAGCCCTATAAATATGAGACTCAAAGAAGGGCCAGACAGCTGAGGCTTAAATAGCATTCTTTTTGTAGGGAAGAGGGGAGATTAGTGTGCAGGTAATTTTGAGGAATAGTAAAATGCTTTTCAGGAGAACTGAATGGGCCTGGGAGACAGAAATTAGTTTATAAATTATTCTCTTTGGAATTTGAACAGGACAAGTTATGGGAAGGTGAGGGGTGGAATTGCACTGAACAAAGGCTGTCACTATGCAGATAAAGTCTCTTAGGCAACCTCTTGCAGCTGCCCTCAGAAGAACAGATGAAAAACCTGACTGGGCATGGTGATCATTTTAGTCTTCTCTAGAAGGTATCAAAATCTTCTTATTTTGCCCCTTGCCAAGTACTTGTGAAGGGGTAGGCACTGGTTATGGCATGTGGAGTGTTATGGTATGGTGAGGAGCTGGATAGCAAGGGGGCTGAACATGTACTGATTTGATTAGCTTCATCTCTAAAGAGTCGTGTCTCAGATGGAGCAGCTTGCACTCAAGGTACTATGAAAATGAAGAGGTTATAAAAGTATTCTAAGGGTCTCTAAGCCTTGTCAGTCTCTGTTTTCTTTATGACAACCTATGGGTTGTTAAGTAGTTGGGATGGGGTCAGTATATGGGCAGAGGGAGGTGCCCTGGTGGAAGTACTAGATAGAGGATTTGGTATTGCATCTAGGATGCTAGAGTTCTTAGAGGTTAAAGGATTTTAATTTACCTAATAAAACCTCAAAGTTTAATTTACTCAACATTTAACCAACAGATGTCTTCTATGCTGAACTAAGAAGCCTAAACTTTTCTCTGAAAGCAGTAAGAAGCCTTGTAGGGATTTTAAAGTAAAGGTGACAGGGTTAGATTTAAATTTTAAAAGATTGCTATGAAGGAAATGTGAGAGGGAATCAAAAAAATAGAAGCAGGGAGATCATTAAATTTTGTTACAATAGCGAAGGTGAGAAGTCATGATGATATGAATTCAAGAATTAAAGAGTTTTTAAGAAAATGGGTTCACAGAACTTAATTGTGGCAGGAGGGCATAGGTGTGGGGGGGTGGTAAGAAGGAAGTGTCAGGAGGGAATGATGCTGCTAGGCATTGGGAGGGGGAGCTCAGGGGCAGGAAGAGGATTTGGAAGAATGATGGATAGAATTGACAGGCTGAATCTTAGGTGTCTGAGAAAAATCCAAGTGGAAACAATTCAGAAGATGCATGAATATTCAAGTATGGGCGTGGAAGAAAAGTCTGGACTAGAAATATATATTTAAAAGTAAATAGGGCGGCCAGTTGCGGTGGCTCATTCCTTTATTTCCAGCACTTTGGGAGGCTGAGGCGGGCGGATCACGAGGTCAGGAGATCGAGACCATCCTGGCCAGTACGCTGAAACCCTGTCTCTATTAAAAATACAAAAATTAGCTGGGCATGGTGGCATGCACCTGTAATCCCAGCTACTTGCGAGGCTGAGGCAGGAGAATCTCTGGAATCTGGGAGTTGGAGGTTGCAGTGAGTCAAGATCGCCACTGCACTCCAGCCTGGCAACAAAGCAAGACTCCGTCTCAAAAAAAAAAAAAGTACAGGGTATGAGTGATAGTTAAAGTCACGCCTGTGAATTGGTGGAAAGATGTGAAACAGCCAACTCAGGGTCCGAAACGAAATAAGACAGACTCATGTTTCCTGACTTTACTATAACATTGCCTATTGCATCTTCAAGCACGAAGGGGAAAATATATATTTTTTATGGAGATACTTTGATCTTTCAAATTCTGGACCTGGGATGTGAAATGGCCATGGCCTTAGTTATTTTAACTGGCTAACTCATAGAATCCCTTTTCTGTGTTCCACAAATGTGCCACATTTTGTGCTATTCATATTCCTGTATCTAGTATATCCTCTTTCATTAATCTATTTTAGTGCAGTAATAGTTATATTTTCAGATCTAAGAACTAATTGCTTGACTTTGTTAATGGATAAAACAAACTGTAATATATTTTAAAGAGGTTTATTCTGAACCAATATGAGTGACTGAGGCCTGGAGAAAACACGCAACCAAGAAGGCTTGAGTAAGTGGTTCCGAGGTGGCCGGGTTGGTTTGGTTTTATACATTTCAGGGAGGCAGGAGTTACGGGCAAAGACATCAACACATGGAAGGTATACACTGGTTCGGTTCAGAAAGGGGGATTATCTTCAGGAGAGGTCTTATAGGTTGTAGGTGGACTTGGGGATTCTCTGGTTTGTGATTGGTTAAAGGAGTAAGGCCCTGTCTACAGCTTAGAGTTGACAGAAAGGAAGGTAAGAATGCTCTGTCAGAGTCAGCCACAATAAAATGCCCTGGTTAGCAAGCCTGATGGCCTGCAGGCCTGACTTACACCTGCCTTGCATGGCCTTAGGGTTTGTTCATAATTTGTTATCTTATGGCCACACGGGGTCTGTTCTGTCAGTCTTAGGATCTCTATTTTAACACCGCTGCTGGTTACTTGTTGAGTCCAAACTCCAAAACAGAGGAGGTATGATAAGGTGTGTCTGACCTCCCTTTCTTTCAGGGCCAGAAACAGCTTTTCAGTTTTCTCTGGGGTCCTCTTGGCCAAGAAGTTTCTGTTCAGTTGGTTGGGGGGCTTAGAATTTTATACTTAGTTTACAACCTAGCGTTGGTCTATATTATATGCTCAGGAAAGTTTCTGAAATAGCCCTGGACTGGTTGGGTGATCTGGGATATGGAAAATGGGCCTGTGTCCTGAATGATGCACTTGAAAATGGAATATAAGACTCCGTAAAACTCAAAGCATCCATGAACACAAAATTCAATTGAGTTGATTTGCCGCAGGCTTTCTCCACTGCTAACAGTTACAATTCAATCTCAGTTATACATGGTGTCCAAAAGAAGCACATTGTGGTGACCAGCAGAAACCAAGTTTTGCTTGAAGAATAAAGGTTGCAATTTTGCAAAGGTCATGTGTTATATAAATTTTCAGTAAGATGAGATAGTTTTAAATATTTATGGCATGGACCTAAAATACACTTGCACTCTTTAGGATGAAGGAATCTATTATTTTGTTGGTAAGTGAGGAATTTAAATGGCCACTAATTTCTTGCACGAATAGCTCTGCACGTTTTTCTCCATGTGTTTGTAGCGTGTACCTTTATCGGTCAAGCAACACTGAGGGGTATTCTGTGAGCACATCTTTAGAATGATACATTAAAATTCTAGTAAATCTTAAGGCCTAGATGATATAAACTCTGAAGTCATCTTGCTCAACAGAAATTATCAATAAACCGTTTTATAGTTCACTAAAAATAAAGAAGAGTTAATAATCTTGACATTTTTATTCCTGCAAGTTGAAAAAGTTTGTGTGTTTTTTCTCAATCTACTAAAGATCTAAATTATTTTGATATAGTTTCAGACTTACTTTGTAACTGAAAGTGATTTTTCTCATTTTTGTTGATAGAAATAAAAACATCAGTAGGAGGGGAAGGAGGAAGGAAGGAGAAGAAAGAGGAAGAATAGGAGGAGAAGAGGAAGAGAGGAAGAAGTGAACAGCCCTCCTGCATTTTGCATCAGGTAGAAAAGTCAGTTGAATGTTGGGAAGAACACAAATAGTAAGTACATAGATTTTCATGTAATAAAAATACCCATTGTTATCAATGCAGGAATGTGCATTTTTTGAGTCACCATAAGATGACAGAGAGCCCCTGGGGCCACCCTTTGGTGTCTCCCAGCTTCCGATGGCAGTCAAGCTTGTAGCAGAGGGACCTGCGTCCCATGTGCCCCTCATCTCCACACTGCCCTAGGCTTGGCTAAGGGAACGGTTGTTCTTCATGTTCCCAAGGGCAACTGTGCAAATGTTCCACTTGCCCTTCAGCATGGGGTGATTCTCCTACGCACAGAAGCAAACACAGTGGTTTAAAACAGGGATAACTCAGTAGATTACCCCTGATCCGTCCAACTGTGCTTTATCGTTATCTTGTTACAGTTTCTGGGTGGAGCCTATTTTTCCAGCTTTTGGCTGCTCTGAGCCGAAGGATGGTAGTAGGGCAGGAGAAGGGGAATTGAATTAATATTTATCGAGGGCCTGACACGAGCCCAGCACTGTGAAGACACCCTCTACACCTGTTATCTTACTAAATCCTCAGTTCAATCCTTTGGGACAAGTGTCACGCTGTGTGCAAATGAGGAAACTAAAACTCATTAAAAATAAGCGACATGCGCAGATCATGTAGATAATATAGAGTAAGGGTTTAAACTCTGGACTCTTTGGGACCAGTACCCATCCTCTTAACTGTTCCACACTTTCTTCCATGTAATGTAGAAATATTTGATTTATTAATAATGTATTCCTTTACAACTTCTGAATGGGATCTGAGATAAATGTATTCATATGCCCTATATATGATAGTTAAGTATAAGGTGAAAATAGGGAACCATTTAGACAAAAGAGAAGATGATTACGTATGAGGCTAACATAGTAAGATCATGAAAATTAAGTTTAGTTTCTCTTCTCCGATTAGACAAGAGGAAGGGAGGTGTGGCAGGTCCCTGGCTTTCCCCATTTCTCAGGGCAGACCTTGGGTTGTGATCTGATCTCATGTGGTTCTCCAAGACCTTCAGGGAAGACTTTGTTCTGTTTTGTTAAGTTTGAGGTTATTTCTTAATTTGTTTGTCATTTTGCTGATTAAGAAGCATAACAGAAATTTATTCTGCAGAAAAGGAAACTGATTAAGAAAACGCAGTGCTTTTATCAGGGACTTTCCAGGATAGATGAATAGATACTGTATATTTATTATTTCAACTCGTGAAAAAAAATCAAGGACATGTTATTAAATTGTAGTTTCTTGAAAATCTTTTAACAGTAAATAAATCTAATGCAGACCAAGTACTTTGCCATTCAGTGGTCTAACAATAAAAAGAGACAACCTAAAGAATATCTGGCTTGTGTGTTCCTTAGGTCAACATGTGTAAATAACTAGCAGGTTGGAGGCATTATGTTTCACTTCCACGCAACCTGTTGCATTTTGCAGGGGTCAATGATTTAGGCACCAATGCCCCTGTGTTTTTTAAAGGGACAAAATACAACCACAATTTCCCTGAACTATGGATTTTAGACTCTAGTTACATATGGGCTAATTTAAATATTCCAAGTAAAGCATATAAGAAAATATAGTCAAAATAGCATGATAATAATTTGACAAGTAAACATTATCGCACTTTCTAAAGCATCCATCTGTATGACAAATTATATGGTCCACCCTATTTATCAGGTCCACCCTAATAACAACCCTCTCTTGAAGGATTATATTACCCTGGTCTTTCAAATGAGGAAATTAACAGTATTGAGATCCCAACCAAAAGGTCTGGCTTCAGAGCTGGCGTGCTTAGTCACTGTACTGTATGGCCACTCTGCATTCTAGTTTTATTATTATGATCTGGTTGTAAGTGAGTTTACAAGAGACAAGGGGAGAAGAGTAGGCATAAAATAGAAGCCACGATCTAGAATCACTCATTCAAAATATATAGTTACTATTTCCCCCTTTCCACAGTCACTTAGAAGGCACTCCTGATACATTTTAAACCTAAGTCTTAGAATAGTATTAGATTCCTGAGAAAATGACAGCTTTTCCTCTTTGATAAAAAGTCTTGTATTAATTACGTGTCCCCTTTGCTTTGACTGTTATAATAAAGTCTTATATCTTAAAGACGTCCACAATGCCAGCCCTCCACAAGTCTCACCTTCAGCATTTTCTTACTATTCCAGTTTACATTATTTCCTGCTCCTAATTTTTAAGCTTAAATTATTTAGCCATTTTTATGTGGTTATCCATCTGGTCAAGTGACTTGGAAATGGGGCAACAAAATAGAATGATAGATTGGTTTGCATAGGAAAACAGACAGAAAAGGAACGACAGCAATACAGGACCAGATGGATGCTTCCCAGAAGCAAAGAACAGGGGCCTGCGCTTACAGGAGTATGTGGGCACTGATGGATGAGGTTCTTTATGCCTTCTGAAAGAGGAGCCAAGCCACTGATGAGTGAGGTGACTAAGAGCTCTCATGCTCTTAGTGAGCTAAGGTCCACCTGCTGCTAAGATTACCTCAAAATACTAAGCTTAAGGTAAAACTCCAGTTTTAGAATCATTTAAAAAATAATTTGGTTAAGGATGAGCTGTGAAATAATTAATTCAAATGCTGCTAACTGAGCACTTCAGTTAGTGCTCCTCAAAGCTGTGAGAAATAGGCTTATGCTCAGTTCCTCCTGGGTGCTGTAAAAGGAACATAAAATCTCTGGACCCCAAACTCACTAAGCTGAAGGGAACAGTCAAGCTGAGAACTGGGTCATGCCAACCAGCCTCCCATTTTGTTCCTAAATAAGACAGCTACAGATCTAAAAGGGTACATGCCTCTCTCACAATTTGCTCAAAACGAAATTCTTTGTGGGTCCCAAGATCTTTACCCTAAAACAGTTCTGTTGAATTTCACCCAGAAAATGCAAGAGAACAGCTATCTTCACAGATCCCGGAACAAAGGACAAAGGATAGAACTAAAAGCGCCCCCCACCCGCCGCCCGGCACCAAAGGAGTCATATCTGATTACTTCCTTTGGAAAGGCTAATCAGAAACTGAAAAGAATGTAACTGTTTGTGTCTCACCTATCTGTGACCTGGAAGCTCCCTCCCAGCTTTGAGTCTTCCTGCCTTTGCTTCCAGTTGTTCTGCCTTTCCAGACCCAACCAATGTACTTCTTATATCTATTGATTGATGTCTCATGTCTCCCTAAATGTAAAAATCAAGCTGTGCCCCAACTGCCTTGGGCACATGCTATCAGGACCTCCTGAGGCTGTGTCATGGATGCGTCCTCAACCTTGGCAAAATAAACTTTCTAAATTAACTGAGACCTGTCTCAGATTTTCTGGGTTCACAAATGCATATCTGATTACTTCCTCTACTTTATGTTTATTTTATCTTATGTAAAAATGCAGATTCACTGAGTGTGAGATGAATGCATAATTGACTATTTCTCTACCCCTTCCTTTGACATGTGAAATGTGGATTCAGTGCACACTGATCAAAGACTCAACAGAATGCAACTGCCTGCCCCTTTTATCTACCCTCCCCCTTTTTTCTTTTCTTCCTCTTTCTCCTACTGCCTGCTCTTTCCCATTAAATACTAAAATTCGCAGGCCCTCTTCGGAAAAAGCATGGATCACAGATTGTTCTTGTGGTTTTGTGTTCCTTTTTCCCGGGTGCATTCTTAACCTTGTCAAAATAAACCTCTAACATGATTGAGACGCTCCTCAGTCATTTTGTTTGACTGTCAGTGGTGAAGGTTTGTTGCATGAGTCAACTTCTGTCTCACTCTGAGTCTTCTTCTGGCTGCTTTCAGTGCCAACACAAAGTGCTCCCTCTAACTCCTTGACATTTCTTCTGTCATCACTATCTCTAGGATTTCTGTTTATTGCTTTTGTTATGGCCACCGTCAGCTTTCAGGCATGCAAATCCCCAGTTTCTTCTCTATGTGGTTTATATTTAAGGTGAACAAGGGAGTCTCATGGGTCGGAAAGTCACCGTCTGATATGATCCAGACCTTTGGCTGCCCGTGGTTAATGAGTAACCTGGTGAGAAATAGTGGCAATGAGAATGCCATATGAGCTTAATAAAAAGTCTGGGGTGATACACCCAAGGATTTGCTTCTAATTGCATTTACCAGACAGGGCAGTGTTGAGTGCAGACAACTTTAAAAGGAGCAATTACCCAGCCTGCTAAACCTGCTATAGGTAAAGGAGTGTGCTGGGCAAGGTGCCAGCACATTGTATAAAATGATCATTATAGATTAAAGAAACACAGGCATACCTAGGGCCATGGGCATTTGATACATCAGATCTAAAAGAATAATACATATGCTTCAGACCAGTTGTAAGAAAATTTACTTTTCTGTATAGCAGGGTCTAAAGTGCATTTCTAGGAGGCACAGATGCCTCACCAGAAAACTAAAGAAGTTCTGAAAAAAAGCTAATATGATACTTGAGAGCATGTCTGTTTCCATCTCATCTAAGTCACAGGAAGAGGAAACAGCCGCATTTACGAAAGTGTGAATTGGAAGCCCCTGGAAAATGTGACTGGATGGGATGAAACACTTGTGTGACACTTTAATAATGGGTATTGGCTAGCTCCTCATTATTTTCCACTGCAGTAAAGTGCGGCATGCAGCAAGATGTCAGTGTAGCATTTACCTATGCAGTGCCACTCTGCTGCAGAGTTTTAAGGATTGAAGATAAGGAAGTGCTACCCGAAAGCTGGCAAATACACCACACATTGAAAGATAAAGAAAGTTGACTTTTGCTGAGTACCTGCTTTGTGCTAGGCACTGGTTTCCAAATTTTGCTGCACAATGGAATCATCTTGGATCTTTAAAAACTGTTGATGCCTGGTTCCCATGCCTAATATTTTGACTTCATGGATGTTGCGTGCAATGTGGACGCTGTGTTTCTAAAAGCTTCCCACTTCATTCTAATGTGCAGCAGTTTGGGAATCACCCTACCAGACTATTACATTTCTTTTTTTTTTTTTTCCTTCCTTCCTTCCTTCCTTCCTTCCTTCCTTCCTTCCTTCCTTCCTTCCTCCCTCTCTCCCTCCCTCCTTCCTTCCTTCCCTCCTTCCTTTCTTTCTTGATGGAGTTTCGCTCCTGTTGCACAGGCTGGAGTGGAATGGCACAATCTCAGCTCACCACAACCTCCGCCTCCTGGGTTCAAACGATTCTCCTGCCTCAGCCTCCTGAGTAGCTGGGATTACAGGCATATGCCACCATGCCCGGCTAATTTTCTATTTTTAGTAGAGATGGGGTTTCTCCATGTTGGTCAGGCTGGTCTCAAACTCTCGACCTCAGGTGATCTGCCCACCTCAGCCTCCCAAAGTGCTGGGATTACAGGCATGAACCACTGTGCCTGGCCCAAACCATTCCATTTCTACTCATTATCTCACTTAAGCCACAGTGAAGCCTGTTGTTACCGATGAGGTCATAGAGGCTAGATGACCCCAGAAAACTTGCCTAGTTTTGGGTAGTGGAATAGACTAAAATCTGATCCTGTGGCTGTAAAACTCTGAAGCTTGGGTTCTTCTCACTCTTCCACACTGGTAGAATTCATGCACTGTAAGGAAAGAAAGGTTTTCTCTTTAATTTTCCCTGTGCTGGTAGCTAGCAGAGAATTGTAATTCATTTAGTAGAGGAAAAAAACCATATATATACTGGGCTATTTTATTAAGGATTGGGTTTTGGTTAAGATCAGACAATGAAACCTATTATAAATTTCCAAAGATATGCAGGTCAGACCACGCTACACCATGTTTCTGGGAGCCCAGAATGCAGAAACAAACATCAAAGTTCTCTTGTAATTTCATGGAAATATTTCATGTTAAAATTGTATTAATTTCAAAAGGTTAGAGTAGAAAATGAGAAGTATACACTTCATTAATTCTCAAGTTCTACATTTGCCAGAAACTTATCTCACCTTCATTAAAAAAAACTCTTATTACTTGATTTCAGAACACTTATAAAACATACTATGGGCCAGGCAAGGGGGCTCACGCCTGTAATCCCAGCACTTTGGGAGGCCGAGGCCGGCAGATCATGAGGTCGGGTGATCGAGACCATCCTGGCTAACACGGTGAAACCCCGTCTCTACTAAAAATACAAAAAATTAGCCAGGCGTGGTGGTGGGTGCCTGTAATCCCAGCTACTCAGGAGGCTGAGGCAGGAGAATCACTTGAACAAGCGAAAACGCCCGGGCGCTGTGGCTCACACCTGTAATCCCAGCACTTTGGGAGGCGGAGGTCACAAGGTCAGGAGATTTATCGAGAACATTCTGGCTAACACAGTGAAACCCCGTCTCTACTAAAAACACAAAAAATTAGCCGGGTGTGGTGGCGAGCTCCTGTAATCACAGCTACTCAGGCGGCTGAGGCTGGAGAATCGTGTGAACCCAGGAGGCAGAGGTTGCGGTGAGTGGAGATTGCGCCACTGCACTCCAGCCTGGGTGACAGAGCGAGACTCTGTCTCAAAAAAAAGAAAAAAAACTTGTCTTAGGATAAATTCCTGGTAGTGAGATATTAGTTAAAGGAAGATGAAATTTTTATAAATTATATAGCATCTGTATGTTACTTTCTGAATGCACCCATTAGGTTACAAGGTCACAAGTAGCACATGATGCATCCCGTTCTCCACAGGACTGCCAGGAAAGGCTTATCTTTTCAGAGAGATTTTATTAGTAATTAGACATAAAATGGTGCTTTGAACTACTGTAACTTGCATGTCTATGGTTATTAGATAGATAAAATTTTTCCCACTTTTTAAACTATTTACATTATCTCATATGTGATCTTGACAATAGAGTTTTTTCCTTTTGTTTTTTACTGCTCTTGAATTTCCTCCTATTTTTTGAAATAACTTACTTAATATAGAGAGTTGTCTTCATGATGGTAGTATTATTCACAATATTTCCCAACTTCGTTGTGTTCCTTATATAGCTCTAGTCTTCTTATGCAGATATTTTCATTTGTATGCATTTAATTTTTTAAAGAATATCTTCTATTGCTTATAATCTGTGAAAGTTTGTATTTCTTTATCTCTGCTTAGACCTAGTGACTCCCTCATTTTATTATCTGTGAGCTTTTCTCTCCATTAGGTTAGCACAGCCTTCTATAATCTGACCTTATCACACCTTACAGAAGCATCATTTGACACACTTCAACTCAGCACCTCAGATCTATTTGGCCCATCCCTTTTCTTCCACACAAACATACCATGTTCATTTATGCCTTGGGGCATTTGGCCTGTCTTAGATGCCTGCCCATTCTTATTTCCTCTACCCATTCAAAGTCTACCTATCAGGGGGACAGATGCCTTGATTACACTCCTCCCTTTGATTTACTTAGTCACATGAACTCCTATAACCTCCTATAACTTGCATAGTCAATATTTATTTATTTATTTATTTATATTTTTTTTTATTTTTTTGATATGGAGTCTCACTCTGTCACCAGGCTGGAGTGCAGTGGCATGATCTCAGCTCACTGCAAGCTCTGCCTCCCAGGTTCATGCCATTCTCCTGCCTCAGTCTCCCAAGTAGCTGGGACTGCAGGTGCACGCCACCACGCCCAGCTAATTTTTTGTATTTTTAGTAGAGACAGGGTTTCACCATGTTAGCCAGCATGGTCTCGATCTCCTGACCTCGTGATCTGCACGTCTCAGCCTCCCAAAGTGCTGGGATTACAGGTGTGAGCCACTGCGCCTGTCCCATAGTCAATATTTATAATTGGCAATTACCCGTAATTATGTAGTCTCTTGTATGTATTTCAAATGTGTTAGCCTTCTCTTCTTAGACAAACTGTGATAATTAAGACATATTTCAGTGGTCTTTATAGCAGCTCTGATGACTGTTGAAATACATTTTTGAGTACCCTACATACTCACTGCATATTTAATTGGTTAAGAATTAAATAAAGAAGTGAATTTTTATCTGCAACTCAGTGGGTCAGGCCCATTGAACTCCAAGTGTCTCCAAGTCCTCATCACCTGCCTTTGAGTGACATGACTCACTCAAAGGCAGGTGATAAGAAACAAGAAAACTGGAACTCATACTTTCAGAGATTTTCCTGCCTCAGATGTGAAGTCTCTTGGCTACTGGAGTCTGGAAGACGACTTCTAAACTGATTCTGACAGGATTGTAACTTGAAACCCTATTATATTCAGTTTCCCTCACTGGTCTCTTTACCCACTCCACACTAGGTGGTACCAGTACTGAGAACTAATTCCCTTCTAAATTCTAAACTCTAAACTGTGTCCACTTTCATCTCACTTATCCTGCCAGTCCCTCCACTCCCTTTCAAGTTTCCCCCTCAAAGCTTCAATCTGTTCTCTTTGGTTCTGATCGTGTTCATCAGCACTCTCCACATGCTTCAACCCATAACACTCCAACTTTCAAACTGGATCAAAACAACCATGACTTTTCCCGTTCCTGTCCCTGGGCTATAGAGTGTTGCCACAAGAATTCACCCACCAAGTGAGGTTGGTCTCATGATTTACAGCCACGGGAGCAGCTTTGCAGAACTTTCAGCATCCTCTTCCATTTCTCCTATGGCTCTACCAAATCTTCACCACCCCTCAGAAGATTTTGCCTTTCATTCACAAAGAAAATTTGATTATCAGCCAGAAAGTCTCTCCATTGTCATGTTCTAAAACAACCAACCACATCAAGATATTACCCATATTTGCATGCAATCACGCTCACGTTCTTGTCTTCTAACCTGAGAAGGCTTGGAGGGAAAAACCCTTCTGCTCAAAGGCAGTCCATCCTCACATTGTTTACTCAGTCATAATCAAGATGCTGTCCAATTATTAACATCAGTCTTCCCTTTCATATATTTTTAATCTTTTCAATTTATAAACATGATCAACATTTTTTCCTGTGAAGAGAAAAACCAATTCTACATTTCAGACCTTGCTTTCTATCCACCCACTCTCTCCCTCAGCCACGGCCATTACCTCTTCAAGGCCAAACTTCTCCAAAAAAAAAGTCTTCCATCACTTCCTTGTTAGGTCTCCACCCACTTCCTTGGGTCTACGCACTCTTATAAACATTGAAGCCGTCAATTCCTCAGTAGTCAGATCCGAGCTCATCTGACTCTGGAATTTTCAGGTGTTAAGCCTTTCATCTTGTAACCCTGTCTTTCCCTGGCTTCCATGATACCGTTTTTCCACACCCTCTTCTAAGGTCTCTGAATGTGCCTCCTTGGTCTCCATTGCTAACCATTCTTCCTGCCTGCTTCTTGAATGTGATGTCTCTCATGTTCCATCCTTGAGCTTATTTTTCACAATGTATTCTTCTGAGTAATGTAAACCAGTGGTTTCGAATTTTAATGTACATATAAATTATCTGAGAATCTTAAAATGCATATTCTTATTCAATAGGTCTGGGATGAAGGATGAAATCGTGCATTTCAAACAAGCTTTCAAATGATGTCCATGCTCCTGGGCCATACACCACACTTTGAATAGTGAGGATCTAAACTACTTATTGGTCTCAGTTGGCGATAACCCCAAATCTCTGGCCAGTTCTATCTCCTGGGCAAATGCTATACAAATAGTTAAGCACCAAAGACAAACATCTCAAAAACAGATATGCAAAACTGAACTCATTTTCTCTGTTTCCTCAATCAAATAATTTGCAGACATCCCTGTTTTAATAAATGGCATTATGTCCCTTCAGTTATGTAAGTCAGACGTGGAGTTACCCTGAGCTTTTTTTTCACTATCTCTCCTGCCACTCATCCTCTACCTCGATATTCAGTTAATAAGAAAGTACTGGCTGGGCGCGGTGGCTCACGCCTGTAATCCCACCACTTTGGGAGGCCGAGGCGGGTGGATCATGAGGTCAGGAGTTCGAGACCAGCATGGGCAATATGGTGAAACCCCGTCTCTACTAAAAATACAAAAGTTAGCCGGGCGTGGTGGTGTGCGACTGTAGTCCCAGCTGCTCGGGAGGCTGAGGCAGGAGAATTGCTTGAACCCAGGAGACAGAGGTTGCAGTGAGCTGAGATCGTGCCACTGCACTCCAGCCTGGGTGACAGAGCAAGACTCCGTCTCAAAAAAAAAAAAAAAAAAAAGGAAAGTACTGCTTACTCTACCTTCTTAACATCTCTCAAACTCATGGACGACTCTTTATCCCAGGCTACTGCCTTAATTAACAACATCAATATCTATTTTATGAATCATTTACAACAATTTGCAAACTCGTTTTCTTGCCTTTACCATTGCTCCTCTCCAGACTCTCTACATTAGGAATATGTTTTTGAAAAATGAAAGCGTGACAAAGTCACTGTTTCAGGACAGTGTATCCAGCAAGTGATGAAGGAAGGCATCAGGCAAGAGGCACTGGAGCTTGAGTGGGTCATTTTTGGACACATGAACCAAGAGAGGCAGAGGGAGTGTAATGGTTTCCATATCATCCCTGTGGCTCCACAGGACAAACCCCAAAACCCTTAACACAGACCACAAAGCCCTTGAAATCTTCTGTTTGCTAAACCTTCCTTCTTACAACCTAAACTTTTGGCATGCTTAGAGCTCCCAAGGTCCCTGTGCTCATCAGTCAACTCCTCTGTAAAGTGTCTTCTTATTGGCTCTTCTATTGGAATTTGCGCTATCTGCCATACTTCTCCAGCCAATTAGCCTTTTTAACACTGTTGTTATAAAAACTGTGGAAGAGGAAATTAGTACAGAGAAAAGCAACAGGCTAGCAAAAATCAGGGGCTCGGGGAGGAAGTCAGGGGCTCATCTTTCTAACCCCAATTAGAATCAGCACATTTAAGAACACTTGTGAATAGAAACTCTAGATTGCAGCCATTCATTAAAACCCCTTCATTTTACATATGGTAATCTGAGACTTCATAAATGACTTGTAACTTCCAAGATTCCAAATCTAATCAGTCCCACATAGGACTTTTCACCTCCAGTCCCGTGCTCAGGTGTTTCTGTTCTGCCCATCACCCATTACAGAGGAAGTACGTTCATCTGGGGATGCTTTTCTCCAGGAGAGACTTCCCTAAGCCTTTTGACTATGCAGATGCTTTCATGCATCTAGAAATAGTTTATTGCCAGTATAATGCAAATTTTATTTCAGTGTAGAAAATAATTTCTAGACTCTCATGTCACATTACTTTTGGCAGGGGCTATTGTTGGAGAGTTAATCATTCTCTGAAAGTCATTGGTTCTTGGTTCTGTTTCTTTTAAAAGAAGAGAGCTCATTTAACTTAAACATGTAATAACATCCAGAACAGGTTGCTTTTCTGGAAACTGTTAATAGAATCTGCATAGCTAGACAATGATTAACATTATGCAAATCTTTTTTTTTTTTTTTTTTTTGAGGCGGACTCTCGCTGTGTCTCCCAGGGTGGAGTGCAGTGGCGCGATCTTGGCTCACCGCAAGCTCTGCCTCCCAGGTTCATGCCATGCTCCTGCCTCAGCCTCCCAAGTAGCTGGGACCACAGGTGCCCGCCACCACACCCGGCTAATTTTTTTGTTTTTGTATTTTCAGTAGAGACGGGGTTTCACCGTGTTGGCCAGGATGGTCTCAATCTCCCAACCTTGTGATCTGCCCACCTCGGCCTCCCAAAGTGCTGGGATTACAGGCATGAGCCACTGCACCTGGCTGATTATGCAAATCTTAAGCATTATTTCAAAGGTCTTTATCTTGTCTTCTCTTGGATAGACATTAAGAGGTAGACAGGGTTCAAAAAACCTAGTTTACAAAAAGGGAAGTCATCAGAATTCCATGAAGAGATTTTGGGAATGTGCATCTTCAAGCCCTATTCTTGTATTCATATGATCTTGGTATCTGTCTTCAGAAATTGTTCCCACGTGACTCTGATGACCATCATTAGTTAAGAATCACTCCCAGAGAATTTAAAGCTATATTGATCAAAGTGGAGGATCTATGACATGATCTAACCATTGATTTTTGATTCTGTATCAAATCCTTCAGTATCACACTCTATTGACCAATAGAGTTAGGGGCCAAGGGAAAGCTTATCTTTTTGCCTTCAGTAGATTGACTGAAAAATCAACTCACAAAAGGCAGATTAGTGAGATAAATGGCGTATACATTTACTAGGGTATATGAGAGAGAATCACAGAATGATTGCTCCACCACAAATTGGGGTACAGGTGATTATTCACTCTTATTAAGGGAAAGAGAAGTAGGGAAGTGTGAATGATTTTAGAAGGGTAGTAAATAATTTTGGGGGAGATTCAATGGGTTTGAAGAACATACAATGACCTGGGACCAAGTGTGTCGGGCCCACAGAGCAGACAATGGTTTGTGATAAAAGTCTGTCCAGATATGTTGGCAGACTTCAGTCTTTCTTCCTTCAATACGATTTCAGTTAAGGAAAACTCAGGGAGAATACCAGAGGTAATTGTTTTCTTCTATGTTAGTTCCATACTTTAGGCCTATAAAGAAACTTCAGAGAACAACTTTATCTCGTGCTTTGGGAGAGAAAGGAGAGGAGGGAAGGTCAAAGAGACCTTGAAGTGGCCGAGCGTGGTGGCTCACACCTGTAATCCCAGCAGTTTGGGAGGCTGAGGTGGGCGGATCACAAGGTCAGGAGATCGAGACCATCCTGGCTAACACAGTGAAACCCCGTCTCTACTAAAAGTACAAAAAATTAGCCGGGTGCGGTGGCGGGCGCCTGTAGTCCCAGCTACTCAGGAGGCTGAGGCAGGAGAATGGCGTGAACCTGGGAGGTGGAGCTTGTAGTAAGAGGAGATCGTGCCACTGCACTCCAGCCTGGGTGACAGAGCGAGACTCCGTCTCAAAAAAAAAAAAAAAAAAAAAAAAAGAGACCTTGAAGTTTCTTCTGGAGTTCATCATGTCAAAGCACTGTATTTTGGTGTATGGGTTTCTGGACCCCAGCAGGGTGAAAGGCAGATGTCAGCAACAGAATCACACAATCCTGATGATACTATTTAATTCCTGAATCCAGAAATATTCTGGATTAGAAAATATATCTTAATTTTCATTTATATGAGACAGTCAATTCCTCTTCATGTTTAAGTTAGTTCTTTGCTTAAGTTTTGTCCTTTGCAAAAGAAAGTAATGGCTTTTATGGTTTCTTCAGAAGGCCTTTCCTTTAATTCCTTAAAAACATATAGAAATCTGGAGAAGAAGCCTTTTGTTTTTAATAGCTTGACAATTATATACCCAAGTTGTTATGTTTTATTTTCCTTGTTTGATGTTCTCCAATTTTCTTGGATTTGTGGTTTCCAGTCTGTTGTTAACTTCTGGAATATTCTTGGACATTACTTCTTCACATATGTCTCTCAGATTCCAATTATATCTGTACTAGATTGTTTAATAATATGGAATAGATATCCCTAGTTCTTGAATGCTCTGTTCTATTTTTTCCCCATTCTTGTTTTCCTCTGTATTTCAGTTTGGGCGAGTTCTATTGATTCCCTTCTTAAGTGCAAGAGTCTTTCCTTGGCTACATGAAGTCTATTGACGAGTCTATCAAAGGAATTCTTTATCTCTGTTACCAAAGTTTTATTTCTAGCATTTCCATTTTATTCATATTATAGTTTCCATATCTCTGCTGAAATTACTCATCTGATTTTGCATGGTGCCAGTTTCTTCATTAGAGCTTTTACCATATTAATTACAGTTGTTTTTAAATTTTCTATCAGAAAATTCTAACAAACACTTGTGTCAGAGCTGAGTGTTGAGTGTGGTTTTGATGATTGCTCGGCCACTTGGAAATGGGTTGTTTCTTGCCTTTTTGTGTAGCTTGTAATTCATTTTAAATCTAGACATCTTGTATTAAATAGTAAAGACTGGGGTAGGGAGGCTGAGGCAGGAGAACGGCGTGAGCCCAGGAGGCAGAGCTTGCAGTGAGCTGAGATCCCGCCACTGCACTCCAGCCTGGGCGACAGAGCCAGACTCCTTATCAAAACAAAAAAAAAGACTGGGGTAAATACTTTTTATTCCCAAAAATGGGCACTTCTTTTTTTTTTTTTTTTTTTTTTTTTTTTGCTAGACCCCACTAGGTGTAGGGTTTCATCCATCTCTTGAGAAATGTGTTAGCATGCTTAGTTAACTTGTACTTTTTAAAGTAAAACTGTTTGGTTTTATTGGTTCATGTTTTTAAAAATATGTCTCACCAAAACGTTAAATATAATTGAATTGGAATATCACTCTTTTAGTAAACCATAGACCTTTGTTTATTTATTTATTTATTTATTTTAAGACGGAGTCTCGCTGTATCGCCCAGGCTGGAGTGCAGTGGCGGGATCTCTGCTCACTGCAAGCTCCGCCTCCCGGGTTCACGCCATTCTCCTGCCTCAGCCTCCGGAGTAGCTGGGACTACAGGCGCCTGCCACCAGGCCCAGCTAATTTTTGTATATTTTTAGTAGAGACAGGGTTTCACTATGTTAGCTAGGATGGTCTCGATCTCCTCACCTCGTGATCCGCCCACCTGGGCCTCCCAAAGTGCTGGGATTACAGGCATGAGCCACCTCACCCGGCCCAACCATAGACCTTTGAACATACCTAAATGCCTGTGATACCATCTAATGAGACGGTTGCAATTTTCATTAAGTTTTCACTACCCATAAAGTTCTTTTACTTTTCAAAATACACTAGTTATAAAGAAAGTCATTACAAGATATCCAGCCTGTGGCAGACCTTAACTTTCTTCATCATTGGCCTTTAATTTTACTAAACACCAGTAAATTCCAGGAATTCTCAATTGGAAGCATTTTCCCTTTTTTTGATAATGATTAAGTCTCACATTAGGTTTAAACTAAGTTTACCTTTTTTTTTTTTTTTTTTTTGAGGCGGAGTCTCGCTCTGTCGCCCAGGCCGGACTGCGGACTGCAGTGGCGCAATCTCGGCTCACTGCAAGCTCTGCTTCCCGGGTTCACGCCATTCTCCTGCCTCAGCCTCCCGAGTAGCTGGGACTACAGGCGCCCGCCACCGCGCCCGGCTAATTTTTTGTATTTTTAGTAGAGACGGGGTTTCACCTTGTTAGCCAGGATGGTCTCGATCTCCTGACCTCGTGATCCACCCGCCTCGGCCTCCCAAAGTGCTGGGATTACAGGCGTGAGCCACCGCGCCCGGCTAAGTTTACCTTTTTAAGAAAAACAATACACTTTATTCCACAGAATAGTTTTAGTTTCACAGCAAAACAGAGTGGAAAGTACAGAGAATTCTCATATACCCTATGCCTCCACACACGCACTGCCTCCCCCGTGATCAATCAGCACCCCTCACCAGAGTGGTACACTTGTCACAACCAACTTACATGGATACATCATTATCATCCAGAGTCTATAGTTTGCAACAGATTTTAATCTTGGCGTTGTACATAATATAGGTTTTGACAAAGGTGTAGTGACATGTATCCACCGTTATAGTATTATACAGAATAGTTCCAGTGCCCCAAAAGCCTCTGTGCTTTGTCTATTCATCTCTCCCTCCTCCCTAACAAGTGGCAAATGCTGATCTTTTTACTGTCTCCAAAGTTTTGCCTTTTCCAGAATGCCATACACTTAGAATCAAAAGTAGTTAGCCTTTTCAGATTGGGTTTCTTTTACTTAGTAATGTCCACTTAGGGTTTCTTGATGTCTTTTCATGGCTTGATAGGTCTCATCTTTTTAGGTTGAATAATATTCCATTGTCTGGATGTACCACAGATTATTTATCCATTCAGCTACTGAAGGTCGTCTTGATTGCTTCCACATTTTAGCAATTATGAATAAAACTGCTGTAAACATCTGTGTGCAGGTTTTTGTGTGGACCCAAGTATTCACCTCCTTTGGGGAAATATCAAGGAATGCAATTGCTAAATCATCTGGTAAGAATATGTTCAGTTTTTTTTGTTTTTTTTTTTTGAGACGGAGTCTCACTCTGTCGCCCAGGCTGGAGTGCAGTGGCGCGATCTCGGCTCACTGCAAGCTCCGCCTTCCCGGGTTCACGCCATTCTCCTGCCTCAGCCTCCCCAGCAGCTGGGACTACAGGCACCCACCACCACACCCAGCTAATTTTTTTGTATTTTTAGTAGAGATGGTGTTTCACCATGTTAGCCAGGATGGTCTCGATCTCCTGACCTCGTGATCTGCCCGCCTCCGCCTCCCAAAGTGCTGGGATTACAGGCGTGAGCCACCGCGCCTGGCCTAGTTTTTTTAAAACTGCCAAACTCTCTTCTAAAGTGGCTGTACTATTTTGCATTGCCCAGAAATGAATGAAAATTCCTGTTGCTTCACATCCTTGCCAGTTTTTAGTGTTGTCAGTGTTTTGGATTTAAGCCATTCTAATAGGTGTGTAGTGGTGTCTCTCTGTTGTTTTGATTTGCAATTTCCAGTGACATATGATGTTGTACATCTTTTCATATACTCATTTGCCATCTGTATATCTTCTTGGATGAGGCATCTTTTCAGGTCTTCTGCCCTTTTAAAAATCGGGTTGTTAGTTTTCTTATTGTTGAGCTTTAAGTGTCCTTTATATAACTCAGATAACAGTCCTCTATCAGACATGACTTTTGAATATACTTTGTCCCAGTTTGTGACTTGTCTTCTCATTCTCATAGTATCTATGGTTTTTTTTTTTTTTTAGATGGAGTCTTGCTTTGTCGCCAAGGCCAGAGGGCAGTGGTGGTGTCTCAGCTCACGCAACCTCCACCTCCCGGGTTCAAGCAATTCTCCTGCCTCAGCTTCTTGAGTAGCTGGGACTACAGGTGCCGGCCACCACACCTAGCTAATTTTTGTATATTTAATAGAGACAGGGTTTCACCATGTTGACCAGGCTTGTCTTGAACTCCTGACCTCAGATGATCCACCCGCCTTGGCCTCCCAAAATTCTGGGATTATAGGCGTGAGCCACCATGCACAGCCAGTTTTTAACTTTAATAAATTCTAGCTTACAAAATATTTCTTTCATTGGTGTTGCCTGAATGTACCACAGTTTTTTTATTCAGCCAGTTAATGAAGGACATCTTGGTTTCTTCCATATTTTGGCAAATATGAGTAAAGCTGCTATAAATGTCTGTGTGAATGTATTTGTGTGCACATAAGTTTTCAACTCCTTTGGGTAAATAGCAAGGAGTGCAATTCCTGGATCATCTGCAAAGTCATCACCGTATCCAGGGTCATCCAGGTTTTCTCTGATGTTATCCTCTAGGATTTTACAGTTTTGCATGTTACATTTAGGTCTATGATCTACTCTGAGTTAATTTTTGCAAAGCTCATAAGGTCTTTGTCTAGACTCATTTTTTCATGTGGATGTCCCATTGTTTCAGTACCGTTTGTTGAGAAGGCTGTTTTTTCTCCATTGCCTTATGTTTTCTCCTTTGCTGAGTTTAGTTTTTATGGCCATGAACAAAATCCTCTTGTTCCTTCACAAAACTATTAAAGACCTTTTTTCATCCTTTTCGTCAAGGCCCAAGTAATTACAATTTCTCTTCAAAACCTCTCATAACTCCTGGAGGTTCTTCAGAGAGTTGAGCTTAGAAGAGACTTATTTAGCAAATGCAACTATAAGGATGCTAATGTACTCTGTCCAGGTCAGAATTTCTTTTCTTCACTAGCTGACGTGTGTGCTTGACCCTTAACGTGGGTCTATAAATGCAGCACTGGGTTCATCAGTGGATCTGTAAGCTTTGGTGTTTTATTTCCCAAGAGCTCTATAGATGCTCCCCATTCCCTGAATTTTGTGCTGTAATGAAGGTGGACATGGCATTGTCAGTGCGACCCGGTCTCAGAGTTAGGTGGACTGCATGTGGGTTCGGGTTCTGCTACTCCCTGTAGGACCTTTCTACAAGTCACCTGTCTCCTCTAGGCCTCAGTTTCTTTATCTGTAATGTTGGACTAGATTCTGTCTATGGTCCTCTAGAGCTCCAAAGTGAAGATAAAACTCCTGTTCCACTCAGGGAGTTTGTATCTTCAAAGTGAAAGCTTCCTGGGGGAAATGAAGCTTGCCTTCACCAACGTTAGAAATTAGTGGTTGAAAAATAGTATTTTTCAGTGTCTGTGAGTCTTGAAGTTATGTTTTCACAGAGTGACAAGAAAACAAATTAATGAAAGGCAGACATCTTCATGAATGAGAGTCAGAGAAAATATGAACATAACATATGACCCAGCATATAGTCTGTTCTCCCTGAATGAATAAAATGTAGGAGTTATTCCCTGGTTTACAAACCAAAATGTTAATCAGAAGTCCCATTTGAGAAGTGAAGTGGGACTTTATTTTATTTTATTTATTCATTTATTTATTTAAGACAGAGTCTCGCTCTGTCCCCAGGCTGAGTGCAATGGCGTGATCTCGGCTCACTGCAACCTCCACCTCCCGGGTTCTAACAATTCTCCTACTTCAGCCTCCCAAATAGCTGGGATTACAGGCGTGCCACCATGCCCAGCTAATTTTTGTATTTTTAGTAGAGATGGGGTTTTGCCATCTTGGCCAGGCTGGTCTTGAACTCCTGACCTCAGGTGATCCACCTGCCTCGGCCTCCCAAAGTTCTGGGATTACAAGTGTGAGCCACTGCACCTGGCTGGGGCTTTAAAGTATGTAAGATATATAGAGAGACGATGAAGAGGGAGGTACGGAGCGAGAGAGAGAGTGTGTGGCTGGAACTTGAAGTTTTTTTTTATTTGAAGTTATATACTTTGGGAATAAACTTAGGTTTTCATGCTCTGCCGAGCTTAAGCAAGATGGCAAATGCATACATTGAGCTCTCTAATCATAACCTCAATATATGGATTCTTGTTCATTAAAATACTTACACCAGCAAATATGATTTCCAAAATTTGTGTTTTGGAGGTAATTAAGTAACTGTATAAAAATAAATGCTTTCCCCTCCTTTCCCCAGTGACTTTCCATACTTTTAAAATAATAAAAATAATGTATATATATTTTTTAATTTTTAAAAGCAACTTAACTCTTTGTTTTTAGGAAACTATAGATTAAGGTATCCCTTTGATCCCGTGTGTACTAGGGATCCACAGGAATGTTCCTCAGCCCTGTGGCATGAGGTCTTTCTCAAAGTCCAGGCAGCTACACAGCATAGCCATGTTACTTTTAATTAGTGTAATTACCATGGAGACAATAGGCATCATCTGTCACTGTTTATCTTTCATTCTAATCAAAAGAGACATTTTAAACAAGCTTTTTAGGATCTCTGAAATATTGTCTACTCATAATCATGTATTATAAAGTTCAGCTGTTTTAAAAGTTAACTATACCAGGAGTGTACTCATTAGGTATGATAACAAGTTAACTGGTTAATCTCATACAGATGGAAAGTTCTTATAAGTTAGACATTTTTGAGTTGTGCACCTATATTTGGAAAGAACAACTTTTAGTCATATCCCTCATATATCTGTTTTGACGTTTTATGTCAGCCTTATGTTTAAATGTGATACCTCATTATAACGTCCTAAAGGCAAGAAACAATATACCCAAATAAAAATATGTCTATGCTTCTGTGTTATAATTTATAAGACTGGCTTCGGTAATTGAATAAACATGTTAAGGTATTTTATTTCAATTATTTATACTCCATTGAGTTGTTCAAATGAGTATGAATCCTTCTAGCAAAAACCCAACCCTCCTTTGGATCTATTCGCAAGGTGCACTTCAAAAGTTTATCATATAGTCGATGTTTGTAATTCTGTCTGTATTATTTCTTCAATAATACCTATGCACCTTGAGGGAAAGTTCTGCCTTATTCTTGCATAAGCTCAATAGGCACACATTTATAATTCAATGCTTGTAATATTTTCTCCCATTTCTGAGATACTTAAAAAATTTAACCTCATTATCACCATCATTACCTCACTATCACCATGAAAATCTCAGTGACAAATAGAGCAACAGTGATCAGCTTGTGAGTAAAAGCCAAATACCAGGCACTAACAAGAGTTCTCTTTTCATAAGAAACCTTCAAGGTCACTGCATGAGGACGAGGCCAGGCCAGTATTCAACATCGGATTTATAGATCCTAAAGTTGGCCACTTTCCTCTTTGCCATGCTGAATCTTTAAAATAAATCCTAATTCAATCTTTTAACCTAATGGCATGTCCAAGTCAAATTTTTTACTACACACTTTTCCCAGATTCACCTCTTTTATTATATATTGGAAAATATAATTTCACAAAGATTATTTCGAATAAAGAGGTAATTTTTCCAATCGTGTAAATGAAATCCACAGGAAAGGAGAGCTCTTCTGTAT
This sequence comes from Homo sapiens, assembly GCF_000001405.40. Classification (NCBI taxonomy): domain Eukaryota; kingdom Metazoa; phylum Chordata; class Mammalia; order Primates; family Hominidae; genus Homo; species Homo sapiens. The sequence goes on along the minus strand of NC_000009.12, from coordinate 67,378,687 downwards.
AAATAGCACAAATTCAGAGGAATGCCTTTGCAAACTCTATGCTTCACCAACACAGATCTTCCCTAGGAAGAGAATTCAAGATTGACCCCAAAACTCATCTCCTGAACTCAGTTGATACATCTTTTCAGTAACTGCCAAAGCCTCATTTGCAATTTCAAATACCTTTGACAAAAAGCCAAAATGTTCTGAAATGTCAAATTCACTTGTACTTTACTTCTTCCACTCTAATGTTTTCAATAAATATATTGTCAGCTACAGCAACAATTTCCAATTTCCCTTGTAAATAAGTGAAATAGCTTGGGAGGATCTTCTGAGATTGCATTGAGGTGTGCTCACAGGGCTATTTCATTTATAAGGTGTCAAGTCAGGTAGGTGGGCTGATCTGTTTCTTCAAGTAGCATCTGTGTAATAGGGTGTTGTTCAGTTAAGAGCCTGAGTCCTGCATCTCAGTGTCTTACTATGGGATGCTGAACAAGCTAAACTTTTTTATTTTATTTTATTTTTAAGTTCTGGGATACATGTGCAGAATGTGCAGGTTTGTTACATAGGTATACATGTGCCATGGTGGTTTGCTGAACTTATCAGCCCATCATCTAGGTTATAAGCCCCGCATGCATTAGGTGTTTGTCCTAATGCTCTCCCTCCTCTTGTCCCTCATCCCCCTACAGGCCCTGATGTGTGATGTTCCCCTCCCTGTGTCCATGTGTTCTCATTTGAACAAGCTAAACTTCCTAAACTTCAGCCCTACCATATGTACATTGGAAATTATAACAGTGCCTTGTATGGCATTTAGTCACAATGTCTGGTGTAGAATAGATGCTCTAAAATTATTATTATTATATGCTGAAGGGCAGACATCTCATCTTATTTTTTTTTTCACTTAAAAGAATATATTTTTTCAGAGACAAGATCTCGCTATGTTGCTCAGGCAGGTCTCAAACTCCTGAGCTCAAGTGATTCTCCCATCTTGGTCTCCCGAAGTGCTGGGATTACAGGCATAAGCCACCATGCTTGGGCCACATCTTATTTTCATTGTGTTCAGAATACAATATAGGGTTGCATATAACAGCATTAAATGAACTGTTGTCATGCTTCCCTTGCTGATGTGTGTGCATATCTGTAATCCACTTTATGGGGGGATAAAGTTTTGTTTGGGCTCATGTCGGAACTGACGGAGTTGTCTCTTCATTAGAAACTGGATGGTCTAGTTTAAAACTACACTGTAAAGACGTGATGTGGCCTTAGTTATGGCATTTAAATAGTGGGTTTAACTCATCAAATTTCCCTAATAATATAACACTAATATATTTAGCTAGTCCACAGAAACACATATTTTTGTATATTTTCTTTTTTTTTTTTTTTTTTCGGAGATGGGGTCTCATTCTGTGTCCCAGTCTGTAATCTGTAGTGCAAAGGTGCAATCACACCCATTGCAGCCTCAACTTCCCAGGCTCCAGCGATCCTCCCACCTCAGACTCCTGAGTGGCTGGAACCACAGGTGCATGCCACCATGCCTGGCTAATTTTTTTTTCTTTGTAGAGGTGGAGTCTCACTATGTTGCCCAGGCTGGTCTTGAACTCTTGGGCTCAAGTGATCCTCCCACCTTGACCTCTCAAACTGCTGGGATTACAGGTGTGAGCCACCACACCTGGACATGTAGATGTTCAATAACAAGAAATGTAAACAGTAAAGATATAGTATTAGAGACAATTATCTATTTTTTAAGACCTCCAGACAGCGATTATTCCTTCAGCTGCGAGAAAATGTAAATGCAAAATACCTGCAAAATGCGATGACTTCCTGTAATGTGGCATCACAGGCAAGCTGTGGCTTTTCAGAAGATACATTCACCCTGTTACCTTACAGCTCTACCAAGTGGGACACCCCAGAGATCCTTATATATTATGTCTTTTTAATAGTTATTCCCAGACATTGTTTCTCTGCATTTATTTTCAAAGTATTAATCCAATTTAACACTCATCTTCCTGGCAAGAACAGTAAAGGGTCTGAAATTTTATACTACTTACAATCTAACAAGTTGGCCTGCCACTCTCATGGATGCTGCCAAAAGAAATAAGACTCCCAGGTCAGAGACAAAGAACGTTATTATTATTGTTATTATTTTATTATTTTATTTTATTTATTTACTTTTTTGAGATGGAGTCTCGCTCTGTCGCCCAGGCTAGAGTGCAGCGGCATGATCTCGGCTCACTGCAAGCTCTGCCTCCCACGTTCACGCCATTCTCCTGCCTCAGCCTGCCGTGTAGCTGGGACTACAGGCGCCCACCACCACGCCCAGCTAATTTTTTGTATTTTTAGTACAGACAAGGTTTCACCGTGTTAGTCAGGATGGTCTCGATCTCCTGACCTTGTGATCTGCCTGCCTGAACCTCCCAAAGTGCTGGGATTACAGGCGTGAGCCACCACACTCAGTCAATAACATTATTATTTATGGACCAACAAACAGCATAAGCAACAGGGTATCAGTTGTCCTTGCCCTGGAGTCCCACGGGAAGGACATGGATGGACTCAGATGGATGAATGCACATGCATTACGGGATAGGAGCCCTGAGCTCAGGGAATGCAAATCCCTTGTAAAGATCCCTAACTATGCCTAGTCTTTGTTCCAGAAGGAGATACCAACATGCTTGAAAAGATGGTCAAAACAAAGGGCAGTCTGTGTCTGCTCGTAAAGTGTGCAGAAATGTGAGGGACTCGTGAAAACATGTCACACAATACTTTCCTCTTATAGTAGACAAGTGAGTCTGTATGCACATGGGGTACTGGATGAAATACTTTATCAAAACTGGTCAGAAATTCAGACAAAAATTTAATTCAATCAAACAACTGCATGTAATAAATAATATTATCGTGTGGCTACCAGTGACTCACAAGTCCAGCTGCTTCAAAAAACATCCTAATTCTCTAGCCCCATCACAGTTCAATTCAATATAATCTGTGGGGAGGGGCCTGGCCTCAGTATTTTTAAAGCTTTCCAGGTTACTTTAATGAGTAATCAAGTCAGGGCTGACAATCACTAAGCCAAAATAAGCCTACTACCATGCAAGGTCTTTTCAGAGACAGAGAAGGAAAAAAAAAACTACCTAAAGTAAATTCCATGATACAGTATCTATAAACGAGGGAACCTACAATCTTTGGCAGGAAAAACTTCAATTAAACTCATTTTCTTGCTACGCTGACCATTTATTTTACCAAAATAAGTCATAACATAAGATCTATTGCTCAGTTCCTGTGTAGACAGAACCTAAAATCTGGGGAGAGGCAAGATCAACTAATTTGTTTTTTTTACTCACTTGACAAGTATTTTGACTAAAGCACTTAAGGATTGTGGTGTTGATTTAAAAAAAAAATGTTTAACAATTTTGTAAAAGACATTTTTTTGCAGTTTTCCAACAAAATCTTGTAAGCGAAGCATGTTTTCTTTCTCCTTATCTCAACCCAAATGGTATGCTATTCCTCATATTTTCTTTTTTTAAAAATCTTGTATTTTAGATTAAGGGGTACATGTGAAGGTTTGTTATGTAGGAAAATAGATTGTTTCATCACCCGGATACTGAGCCTAGTACCCAATAGTTATTTTTCCTGATCCTGTCTCTCCTCCCACCGTTCATCCTCAAGTAGGCCTCAGTGTGTGTTGTTCCCCTCTTTGTGTCCATGTGTTCTCATCATTTAGCTCCCAATTATGTGGTATTTGGTTTTGAACATGTGGTATTTGGTTTTCTGTTCCTGCATTAGTTTAAGCATCATGGCCTCCAGCTCCTTCCATGTTCCTGCAAAAGACATGATCTCATTCTTTTTTATGACTACATAGTATTCCATGGTGTATATGTACCACATTTTCTCTATCCAGTCTAACATTGATGGTCACTTAGATTGACTCCAGATCTTTGCGATTGTGAATTGTGTTGCTCTGAATATATGCATGCATGTGTCTTTATGATAGAATGACATATATTCCTTTGGGTATGTACCCAATAATGAGATTGTTGGGTGAAATGGTAGTTCTATTTTTAGTTCTGTGGGGAATCATCACACTGCTTCCCACAATGGTTGAACTAATTTGAACTCCCACCAACAGTGCATAAGCGTTTTTTTTTCCCCTGCAACCTCACTAGCATCTGTAATTTTTTGACATTTAATTATAGCCATTCTGACTGGTGTGAGATGGTATCTCATTGTGGTTTTTATTTGCATTTCTCTAATGATCAGTGATAATGGGATTTTTTTTCATATGTTTGTTGGCCACATGTATGTCTTCTTTAGAAAAGCATCTGCTTATGTCCTTTGCCTACTTTTTAATGGGATTGTTTGTTTTGCTCTTATAAATTTACTTAAGTTTCTTATTGATGCTGGATATTTGACCTTTGTCAGATACATAATTTGCAAATATTTTCTCCCATTCTGTGGGTTGTCTGTTTACCCTGTTGATAGTTTCTTTTGTTGTGCAGAAGCTCTTTAGTTTAACTAGATACCATTTGTCAAATCTGCTTTCATTGCAATTGCTTCTGGCATCTTTGTCATGAAATCTTTGCCCATTCCTATGTCCAGGATGATATTCCCTAGGTTGTCTTCCAGGATTTTTATAGTTTTAGGTTTTACATTTAAGTCTTTAATCTAGTTCATTGAGAGTTTTTAAAATAAAGGGATGTTAAATTTTATCAAAAGTCTTTCTTTGTCTATTGAGATAATCGTGGTTTTTGTCTTTAGTTTTGTCTATGTGACGAATCACATTAATTGATTTGCAAATGTTGAACCAACTTTGCATTCCAGGAATAAAGCCTATTTGATAGTGGTGGATTAAATTTTTGATGTGCTGCTGGATTCAGTTTGCTAGAATTTTGTTGAGAAGTTTTGCTTCCATGTTCATCAAGGATATTGGCCTGAAGTTTTCTTTTATTTTTGTGTCTCTGAGAGGTTTTGATATCAGGATGATAATGGCCTCATAGAATGAGCTGAGGAGGAGTCTCTCCTCTTCCATTTGTTGAAATAGTTTCACTAGGAATGGTACCAGCTCTTCTTTGTACAGCTGGCAGAATTCAGTTGTGAATCCATCTGGTCCTGGGCTTTTTTATTTTTATTTTTTTTTATTGGTAGGCTATTTATTACCAATTCAAGTTTGGAGTTTGTTATTGGTTTGTGGAGGGATTCAATGTCTTCCTGGTTCAGTCTTGGGAGGGTGTATGTATCCAGAAATTTATCCATTTCTTCTAGGTTTTGTAGTTTGTGTGTGTAGAGGGGTTCATAATATTCTCTGATGATTATTTTTATTTCTGTGGGGTAAGTGCTAATATCCTCTTTGTCATTTCTGATTGTGTTAATTGGATCTTCTCTCTTTCTTCTTTATTATTCTGGCTAGTGGTCTATCTATCTTATTAACTTTTTCAAAAAATTAGCTCTGGCTTTGTTGATCTTTTGAATAGTTTTTCGTGTCTCAATTCCTTCAGTTCAGCTCTGATTTTGGTTATTTCTTGTCTTCTCCTAGCTTTGGGGTTAGTTTGCTCTTGCTTCTCTAGTTATTTTAGTCATGATGTTAGGTCGTTAATTTAAGATCTTTCTAACTTTTTGATGTGGATTTTTAGTGCTATAAATTTCCCTCTTAACACTGCCTTAGCTGTGTCCTAGAGATTCTGGTATGTTGTAACTTTGTTTTCAGTAGTTTCAAAAAACTTCTTGATTTCTGCCTTAATTTCATTATTTACCTGAAACTCATTCTGGAGCAGGTTGTTTAAGTTCCATGTAATTGTATGGTGTTGAGCAATTTTCTTAGACTTGAATTCTGTTTTTACTGCACTGTGGTATGAGAGTGTGGTTGGTATAATTTCAGTTCTTTTTGCATTTGCTGAGTATTGTTTTATGTCCAATGTGTGGTTGATTTCAGAGTATGTGCCATGTGGCAATGAGAAGAATGTATATTTTATTGTTTTGGGGTGGAGTGTTCTGTAGATGTCTATCAGGTCCATTGGTCCAGTGTTGAGTTCAGGTCCTGAATATCTTTGTTAATTTTCTGCCTCAATGATCTGTCTAATATAGTCAGTAGGGTGTTGAAGTCTCCCACTAATATTGTATGACAGTCTAAGTCTCTTTGAAGGTCTCCAAGAACTTGCTTTATGGATCTGGCTGCTCCTGTGTTGGGAGCATATATATTTAGGATAGTAATGTCTTGTTGAATTGAGCCTTTTACCATTACGTAATGCCCTTCTTTGTCTTTCTTAATCTTTGTTGGTTTAAAGTTGCTTTTTTTTCTGTTTTCCATTTGCTTGGTAGATTTTCCTCCATCTCTTTGTTTTGAATTTATGGATGTCATTGCATGTGAGATAAGGTTTTTAAAGACAGCATACCATTGGGTATTGCTTTTTCAGTCAGCTTGCCACTCTGTGCCTTTAAATTGGGGAATTAAGTCCATTTCCATTCAAGATTAATACTGATACGTGTGAATGTAATCTTGTCATCATAATGTTAGCTGGTTATTTTAAAGACTTGCTTATGTGGTTGCCTTATAGTGTCACTGGGCTGTGTATTTCAGTGTATTTTTTTTTTTAGTGGCTGGTAACAGGCTTTTCTTTCCATATTTAGTACTTCCTTTAGGAGCCTTATAAGGCATGTCTGGTGGTTAAAAAAAAATCTTCTCAGCACTTCTTTGTCTGAAAAGGATCTTATTTCTCCTTCACTTATGAAGCTCAGGTTGGTTAGATTTGAAATCTTGGTGGGAATTCCATTTATCTAAGAATGTTGAATATTGGCTCCCAACCTCTTCTGGCTTGTGAGGTTTCTGCTAATAGGTCTGCTGTTAGTCTAATGGACTTCCCTTTGTACCTTTGTAGGTTATCTCTCATTACTTTTTCTCTGCCTTTAAGATTTTTTTGCTTCATTTCAAGCTTGGAGAATCTGATAATCATGTCTCTTGGGGATGATTTTCTTGTGAAGGATTTTGCAGGGTTCTCTGCATTTTCAGAATCTGAATGTTGGTCTCTTTAACTAGGTTGGGAAAGGTCTCATGGATGAAATCCTAAAATATGTTTTCAAGTAGTTTCCATTCTCCTCATCTCTTTCAGAGACACCAATGAGTCATAGATTCGGTCTCTTTACATAATTCTATGTTTCTCAGAGATTTCTTACTTTCACTCTTTCTTCTTTCTTCTTGTCTGGCTGTCTTATTTCAGAAAGCCAGTCTTCGAGCTCTGAGATTCTTTCCTCAGCTTGGTCTATCCTGCTGTTAATACTTGCCATTGCATTATGACATTCTTGTAGCGTGTTTTTCAGCTCTATCGGTTGGGTTACATTCTTTTCTCTATGGCTATTTTATCTGTCAGCTCCTGTATCATTTTATTGTGCCTCTTAGCTTCCGTAGATAGGGTTTCAACATTCTGTTGAATCTTAATGATCTTCATTCATATCCATATTCTGAATTACATTTCTGTCACTTCAACCATCTCATCTTTGCTGGAGAGGTGATGTGGTCATTTGGAGGGAAGAAGGCCCTCTGACTTTTGAGCTGTCAGGATTCTTGTGCTGATTCTTTCTCATCTCTGTGGGCTGATGTTTCTTTAATCTTTTAAGTTAATGTCCTGTGGCTGAGCTTTATTTTATTTTATTCTATTTGATGGCCTTGAGGGTTTGGTTTTGGTACAAGGTGGGTTCAACTGACTGGTTTCATTTCTGGAATATTTTAGGAGGCTCAGATTCAGCTCAGGACTCTCGAACTGCATGCTCTAACCCTGGGGGACTGGTTTCTGGCCCAGGCTTTGTCTCTGGCCCCTAAAGGTTAGGAACCTGCTGTGCTGGAAGGACCAAGATGATCCAAGACCACTGGTCACAACACTCTGATGGGTGGTGCCAGTCAAAGTGCTTCATAGGGCAGTGCCAGTGAGATCCATCCTGGTTCACACCTTCAGCAGCAGCAGCAGCAGTGGCAGCGAGGTGTGGTGCACATTCACTGGCTGTGGCAGGGAGCTAGTGGCTGCCAGCATGCTGGCCTCATTGTGGGCATTCATAGCAGCAACTGTGGCATCACGGTGCAGGGGTTGGGGGTGGGGGATGCTTGCCCCCTCCCGCACCCCTGTGTCTTTGTGTGCATTTGTGCCGGTGGCGGTGTTAGCATGGGAGTGAAGCACTGGTGAGCACAGGACTGTGTGAGTTCTCCTTGCACATTCACGTGGGTGGTCGTAGCCGCTCAGAACAGGGGTGGGTCCTCTGTTCTCGGTGCCTATTGTCACACTGGTGGTAGTGTCGGTGCAGGGGCAGGGCGTTGGCAGGGGCAGGGCTGGCGGGCTTCATGCCCACTCATCAATGCTCCAACAGTAATGGCAGTATGGTGGGGGGTCGAGAGGGTGAAGTGCACTCAGGATGGCAGCAGTAGCATGGCACACACACTGTGGCAGGAAAGGGGAGGCAAGGTCCACACACACACACATGCACTGGCAAAACGATGTGGGGGATGGCCGTGGGCTAGTGCATGCAGGCAAAGTGGCACGGGGAGACTGCAGTGGGGGCAGGGCACAGTTAGGCTGATGTGTGTACATGGGGGCCACTCTGCAGCAGATCTCTGCTGGTCAGGCACAGTCAGCCAGCACAGGAACTATGATGCAGGTCCTCAGGAGGTAGCCTCCACTGCACCCCGCTGTGAAGCTGCACTGCAAGCAGGTGTGGCCAGGCTGGGGCCCCAGGAGGGGTGAGCAGACTGAAGGATGCTCAGGTCAGACTGGCCCTGTCTCAGGGGCAAGACTGCCCTGCAGAGTTCAGGTCTGACAGTTGCCCTAGGGCTGAAGTCTCCTATGAGAACAAGTCTAGCCTAGGGCAATGGGTGTCCCTGACCATTCTCCACTACAGATGCTCGCACACAAAACCTTCTGGGCTTTGCACAGTCTGGAGTTCTACCATTAACACTTTATAAGCAGGTCTTCCTGACAACTCAAGTGTCCCTGGTGGTTGTAGGGTCTCCTCCTGTCAGGAATTCAGGGACCTGTGACAAGAGGAGGTTGCCCCTTGCCTGTTCAACTCACCTCTCCTCCAGGAGATTTTGGGGACCTGGAATGAGTCCTGGTGCACGATTGCCCCTTGCAGGGTTCCCGGCTTCCTCCCCCTTCAGCCCAACATCTGTGTCTTCCCTCTGTCTGCTCTCAAAGCCTTCCCTCTGAAGATCTTCCAGGAGCACACCAGTCTTCTCAATGTCCTGGTCCCTTGGTGGGAGCTGTTCCTCCTGGCTGTGTCTAGTCAGCCATCTTCCCTCATATTTTCTTCACACAAGTTAACAATGATTATTTTCACATTGCAATTTCATCTATTAATTGACATTTAAGAGAAAACAAATCAGTGTGATAATTTGCTAATATTTCTCCCAATGAGCACATATGTTTTGTTGTTTCCTTCAACAAAGACAGTGATAGCTCCACATCATTGTTCTGATTTTATCAGATCTATAGGAGGAAAACTCAAACTGTGATGAAGGCATTCAGTGAAGATCTAAATAAATGGAGAGTTGTTCTAAGTATATGGATAGAAAGACTCAATATTGTGAAGATGTCAGTTCTTTCAAATTTCATCTATACATTAAAAGCAATCCCAATAGAAATCCCAGCAAGTTATCTAGTGGGTATTGACAAACTGATTCCAAAGTTTATATAAAAAGGCAAAAGATCCAGATTAGCCAACAAATGTTAAAGAAGAACAAGTTTGAAAGTCTTACACTGTATAGCTTCAAAATCTATGATAAAGTTATAGTGATCAAGACAGTGTGGTATTGGTGAAAGAATAAAAACATAGATCAATGGAACATACCAGCGGGCCAAAAAATAGACCCACATGTACGTAGTGAACTGATCTCTGACACAGAAGCAAGGGCAATTCAAAAGAAAAGGTAGTCTTCTCAACAAATGGTGGTAGAATAACTGGTCATCCAACATGCAAAAATATAAATCTATACACAGACTTTACACCTGTCACAAAAATTAAGTCAAAATGGATCATAGACCTAAATGTAAAGTGCAAAACTATAAAACTTCTAGAAGACAACATAGGAAAATGTCTAGTTGACCTTGATTTTGGTTATGACCTTAGGTACAACATCAAAATGCATGATTCATCAAGAAAAATGGATAAGCAGGACTTCATTAAAATTAAAACTTCCATTCTGTGTAAGACACTGTTAAGACAATAAAAAGACAAACCAAAGATTGGGAGAAAATCTTTGTATAACACATATCCAATAGAAGACTAGTATCCAGAATACGTAAAGAATCCTCAAAATTCAACAAGAAGAAAACAAACAACAAAATGAGTAAAAAATCTGAACAAACATCTCACCCCAGAAGATATGCAGAATGATAAGCATATGAGAAGATGCTCCACATCATATGTCATTGGAGAAATGCAAATTGAGATAACAATGAGATACTACTACACACCAATTAGAATGGCGACATTCAAAATACTGACAACACCAAATGCTGGGGAGGATATGAGTCAACAGGAACTCCCATCCATTGTCGACAGGAATGCAATATAGTATAGCCACTTTAGATGACAGTTTGACAGTATCTTTCTTTCTTTTTTCAGACGGAGTCTTGCTCTATTGCCAGGTTGGAGTGCAGTGGCGCGATCTCAGCTCACTGCAACCTCCGCCTCCTGGATTCAAGCAATTCTCCTGCTTCAGCCTCCCGAGTAGCTGAGACTACAGGTGCGTGCCACCATGCCCAGCTAATTTTTGTATTTTTAGTAGAGATGGGATTTCACCATGGTGGCCAGGATGGTCTCGACATCTTGACCTCGTGATCCACCTGCCTGGGCCTCCCAGAGTGCTGGGATTACAGGCGTGAGCCACCACGCCAGGCCGACAGTACCTTACAAAACTAAACATACTCTTACCACATGTTTCAGCAATTGCAGTCCTTGGTACTTACCCAAAGAGATTGAAAACAAAGATATGTTCAACAAAAACTTGCACACAGATGGTTATAGCAGCTTTGTCCATAATTGCCAAGACTTGGAAGATGACTTTTAATAGCTAAATGGATAAATAACCTGTGGTACATTCAGACAACCAAATATTATGCAGTGATAAATAGAAATGAGCTAGCAGAGACATGTAAAGACATTGAGGAAACTTAGATATAAGTTGTTAAGTGAAAGAAGTCAATCCAAAAAGGCTACATACTTTAGGACCTCTGGGGGAAGGGAGGGATGAATAGGTGGAGCAGAGAGGATTTTTTTGGGTGGTGAAAGTATTCTGTATGATACTGTAATGATGGATATGTGTCATTGTGTGTTTCTCATAACCTATAGAATGTAAAATACAAAGAGTGATCCCTAATGTAAACTACGGTCTTAATAATAGTGTATTAGTATTGGCTCATCAATTGTAACAAATGTACCAGGAGATGTTAATAGTAGGGGAAATTCCTGCAAGAATTGCCCACTCCCACCCTCTCATTTCACAGATGAAGTCCCGTGACCCAGAAGTGCAAAGCCATCTGTTGCCGCTCCCATCCTATTGGAGACATAGCCCTGACTCTTCCTCTGAGTTGGGGTCCAGGGCTCTTTCTCTTCCTCTAAATAGCCACCTCAGCAGAGCCTCCTGGCAAGTAGGATTTAGTCTACACCAGGCTTCCTGCATGCCACTATTTACTTTCCTAATGAAGACAGAAAACGAGGTGTGAAGGCAGCAGCATGTTAGATTTTTCAGTTCTAATGGGAAGAATAAAAAACTCACTATGATGCACTAAAGAGCCATTAGTGAAAACAGTTTTAAGTCTCTACCTCAATTCCCAAGAAAGCTGATGGAGAAAAACGGCAGCTTCAACATTTGCACTTTGACTTGCCTCTCTCCATGGGAACTTCAGATTTCCTTCCTACAGCTAACACAATCCTAAATTTCTAGTGTGGCTTTCAGGGATTACCAAAGACAGAATGTTGAATGCATTGTATGGTTTCTGTCTTCAGTCATAGGAACCATTCTTTGCTCTAGGAGTAGCAATGAGATCCAAATCCAGGAAATATGGCAATATCTTCGATTTACATCATTAGCCCTCAGTATTATTTTTTTTTTTGAGACTAGAAGCAGAAGGCTGCTTCATGCCTGGCTGCCTATCAAAAGAAGCAATTTTCATAAATCTATAGCTCTGAACAATGAAAACGGTTCCTTTTACCTCTGCTGAATCAGTGTCTGGAGCATCAGGGACAGGGGAAAAGTTCTAACATTAGCTTTTTTCTTCTACCTGCTGCTAATCAGAGTGCAAGCATGAAGTTGTATTCTTCTCAGGGCCAGTAAAGCAGGGAAAGAAATCACTAGTGCTCCTCTCCAGTCTGAAGATCAAATAAACAGCCTTTTTTATCATCCAGCTGCTAGGGGTATGGCTTGAGCTACAGACAGCTCATTAGAAAGAACCACAAAGTTAGAAATTTGGCCTTTGGGGGGAAAATGTCATTCTTCAAATTCCCTGTCTTGTATTCTTTAACTAAGTACATATCCTTTTTAGGGGCCAGATGGGATGGGGAGACCTGTTTTGAACCTTAAGACAATAATAAGAGCTTAGATATTTACTGAAGGAATGAAATGGTTTGTCTGAAAGTTGCCCAGTTTCACAACTGTTGTTCCATAAAACCAAAGAGAACGATGCTTGCCACGTGGGTAAAAGCTGACTTTAGTTGACGTCTCTTCCTTCATTCTTTTTCAGCTCACACATCCTCCCCATTCTCTGAGTTCCCACAAAGACTGTTATTGCTGGGGCTCATAAAATTATACTCCAAAGTATGATGCTTTGGCATCCAGAGTGCTTTGAACTATAGGAGATTGAAGGCCCCAGAAGCCAAGTTTCCCTCTGACCTCCTGCCTCCCTGTCTCCCACCCCCTACTTTTCCCCTGAAGTGAGTCCTGGAAACCAGAATTCTTCTTGCCCAAAGCAAGCCGTGACACCCTGGAAATATCACTCTAACCTTCCTTGCCTTTCCGTGTGGCAGCTGGCCATGAAGAAATTCTCTGACCTACCTTGTTTGATAGCAGATCACAAGACCCTGGTTCCAGAGCGGTCCTGCTTTACACCGAAGGAAAGGAATGTCATACAGAAAGGCCAAGAAGAATCTGAAGAGATGTCCAATCACCTTTTCACGTGGCTGCCCATTCTTCATTGAACCTAAGCATTAAAATAGACAGTTTCCCCTGGGTCTTTGGGTCTTCATTTCTGAAGACTCCATGTCATGTAAAACTTTGATTAAATAAATGTATCATGCATTACTTTTGCTAACCTGTCTTTTGTTATAGGAGTGTCGCCTGTGACCTTTATGATGGGTAAGGAAAGATTTCACATCTTTTCTACCCCTACATTATCATACTGTGAAATTTTATTATATGCTGTCTTGCCCTCATAGAAAGAGAATTTTGGAGTTTGAAAGAATCCTGCTAATCATGAAATCTGGTCCTTTATTTAACAGAAAAATTCCCAGAGACATGAAATGATTAGTACTGTTTCACAGAGAAGCAGAGGGAGAGCCAGACCCTCAGTCAGTCCAGGCTCTGCTGTCTTTGGAGGTGGGGTTTCAGGTCTCCCCAGCAGGGTTGTGAGGTCCCAAAGAACGGGAGGCAGGCCTTGGGCCATAGTGTCCTGCATCCCTCCAGAGCCTGCAGCAGGAGCTGGGCCCAAGGATGCTGCGGAGTGAGTCCACATGACTGACATACACTGCTCTGGAAGCACCATTCCGGCAGACTAGCCCTCTTCTTCCCATATAATCTGGGAAGGTTGTTATAGATAGTCCAGATTTTTCTAGATAATCTTGTAACATATTCACATTCAACATACATACAAAAATTCACACTTGGTATGGGTAGGAGAACTGTGCAGACTTCAGTAGAATTTATTTATTAAAGCTTTCTGTAGACGGTCATTTAAGGCCAGCAAAATGTTTTCGATCTCAGGGGTTAAATGGATTCAAAACAGAAATCAGTAAAGCTGTCATTGCAGATTTCTGTAATAGAGAGGCAAGTATAACAATTGATTAAGAATTCTATCCCTTTATATCTATAGAATATATAAGGCCCCTGGATACCCCTGGACCTCAACGCTCCACATTCCCCATTTCAGAAATCCAGGAGGACGTGTGGCACCGTGAGGGGACCACAGAGACCCTGTCTCTCCTGTCTAGTCTATGCATCTTCACTCGCCCGGCCCTCACTTCACAGAACAGGCATTCTTGCTCCAAAATCCCTCGCTCATTAGCTGCCCCTATCCTGCTGCTTACCCAGATTTTAACCCGTGAGTCACCCCACACCCTCCTGACATCTGCTTTTCTCAGGACATGGAAAATACGGACTTGGAATTTGAGCATTTTCTATGCACAGGAAAACTGAAATTGAGATTCAGGAAAGCTACTTACTGAATTTGATAATTTAGGTGTGGATTAAGATTGTAGGTGTTATCTTGAGAAGGCCCCAAGCAAGTTTCAGATGTACATCTTTTTTGAGAAAATGTGTGAGAGGCTATTTTGCTCTCAGTTCTCTGCTATTGTTAGGACCCCTAGTATTTACCTGCCCGCTTGCACTGTAACTCCAAAGGAAGCTTTCACCTAAAGCTTGGGAGAAATGATCTGCTAATAATCCATCACTGTGGTTCTTATCATGTTTCCCATTGTTTTCTCTTTTATGAGCAGTTCTTCTAATATTAGCATTTTCTTCTTCAAGCGTAACTACCATAACAATATTATCAGACACTTTGGGAACATTTGTGGTGCATGTTTTTGTTGTTGTTTTTTGTTTTTGTTTTTTGTTTTTTGAGACGGAGTCTGGCGTCTCCTCTGTTACCCAGGCTTGAGTGCAGTGGCGCGATCTCGATTCACTGCAAGCTCCGCCTCCTGGGTTCATGCCATTCTCCTGCCTCAGCCTCCCGAGTAGCTGGGACTACAGACGCCCGCCACCCCACCCGACTAATTGTTTGTATTTTTAGTAGAGACGGGGTTTCACTGTGTTAGCCAGGATGGTCTCGATCTCCTGACCTCGTAATCTGCCCGCCTCAGCCTCCCAAAGTGCTGGGATTAGTGAGCAACCGCACCTGGCCTTGTGGTGTGTTTTTATTCAACCCAGAAAGAATTTTGTTGCCAGCATTATTTGTATGTATTAATACTTTACTGAGAAACTGTGTCAGATATAGGGATATGCAAAGTTCCTAATGACAGTAGAAAACTAGAAATATGGGAAAAGTTTGAGCTTGAAATATGAAAATTAGAATGATGTACTTAATTAAATAAAAGAAATATTTGCAGATACGCTTGGACCAAGACTGATAATTAAAACACAGTACAATTTATTTCAACATTAAAATGTTGATTATGTATTTTCTTAGGGGGCAGGTATACATGTTCTTAAATAGTCAGAAACTAAATACACTCTTCAAATGTTGAGAAATAAGTAGTAAAATTTTTTATAAAAAGAAATAGCATGCCCACCTAGATTACTATTAATGAACACTCTTTTAGTTTTTGAATGAAACATTATCTTAGCATGGAAGTTTAAGAAAACAAAGATTTTTTAAAGTCACTATACTATGACATGTCCACAAAAATGTTTAGTAGATAGTTCCTCAGAAGTAATTTTCATAGATGAATAAAATGATGACCGTGCATATTCTTTTCGGTGGTCTTTGTAGATGTGTTAATTCACATGCGGTAAAAGGGAAAAGTTAACAAATGCAAAGCATGAGAATCCCACATTTTAGTTTATACTGATTCTCATTAATTTATCCAGTGGTAATTCATTCTTCTTTTCCTTTTTATTTTTTTTAGACGGAGTCTCGCTTTGTCGCCCGGGCTGGAGTGCAGTGGCGCGATCTTGGCTCACTGCAAGCACCGCCTCCCGGGTTCATGCCATTCTCCTGCCTCAGTCTCTTGAGTAGCTGAGACTACAGGCGCCCACCATCATGCCCGGCTAATTTTTTGTATTTTTAATAGAGATGGGGTTTCACCGTGTTAGCCAGGATAGTCTCTATCTCCTGTCCTCGTGATTCACCCACCTCGGCCTCCCCAAGTTCTGGGATTACAGGCGTGAGCCACTGCACCCAGCCGGTAATTCATTTTTCATAATTGTTGCTTAGAGATTCTAACCCCAGTTCCCATTACCCATCCTGTCTCACACACAATAAAGTGTCATGTCTGCGTCACTAAATGTCTGCGTTGGAGTGAGTTTGAATTGTCTTTAATGTCAGACTCACTTCAGAGGAGGTGTGGTTTTCTTGCTTTTTTGTTTTTTTTGTTTTTTCACCTCTGTAGGACTTTTCCAAGTGGCTCCGGGTCAGTGAAAAGTTATTAAGAGCAGCTTCTACTTCTGTCCTAATTAAAAATTGTGCAAAACAAAAAAATACATCTTTTTGACACATTTTTTCTGAAGTAACCTCGTATTTTTTTCCTTCAAAAATTGAAATCAAAAGGTAAAATAAGTATACAATTTTAATTTCTGATACTGGCATAGTGTTTGTATCTGACTATCTTCATGGAGCAAAAGTCATGGAGATAAAAGATAAAAACTTCACAATTATTCAGTTATTTTGTTTATTGTTAAGTTTAAATCCTATTTGATTTAGCATTTTATTTTCTATAAATGTTTAAATAAACATTTTATAGAAAAGCCCAATCACTACCACCTCCTCAAATCACTGAGGTTGCCTCTAACCTGAGTGTAAATGGAAAGCAATTATATTATTTATCTGCTTTTACTTACTCATATTTAAGTGCTGGTATTTGTGCTTTAGGTCAAATAATATAAGATTTTCCCATAGAAATGATGGCAACTTAATAATTAAAATTTTAAAGCATCTTACAGGGAAGTATTTTTAGACAATATATCACTTGTTCATACCATGACTTAATCTCTTGGTGATAATTTTTTTTTGAGACGAATTCTCTCTGTCGCCCAGGCTGGAGTGCAGTGGTGCAATCTCAGCTCACTGCAACCTCCACCTCCCAGATTCAAGCGATTCTCCTGTCTCAGCCTCCCGAGTAGCTGGGACTACAGACGCCTGCCACCACGCCTAGCTAATTTTTGTATTTTTTTAGTAGAGACAGGGTTTCACCATATTGGCCAGGCTGGTCTCGAACTCCTGACCTCGTGATCTGCCCATCTCGGTCTCCCAAAGTGCTGAGATTACAGGCGTGAGCCACCGAGCCCGGCCTGATAATTTTATTTAACTTTTAACTTCAGTGTGACATGTACAGGTTTATCACATAGGGAAACTTGTGTCATGGGTGTTTGTTGTACAGACTATTTCATCAGCCAGGTATTAAGCCTAGTACCCATTAGTTATTTTTCCTGAATCTCTCCCTCCTCCCACTCTCCACCCTCTGAGAGGCCCCAGTGTGTGTTGCTCCCCTCTATGTGTCCATGTGTTATCATCATTTAGCTCCCACTTATAAGTGACAACAAGCGGTATTTGGTTTTCGGTTTCTGGGTTAGTTTGCTAAGGATAATGGCCTCCAACTCCATCGATGTTGCTGAAGAGGACATGATCCTCCTCTTTGTTCTGGCTGCATAGTATTCCATGGTGTATATGTACCACATTTTCTTTATTCAGCCTGTATGATAAATATTATTTTTTTTAAAATCTTGAGTTCTAAATTCTCCCAGTCAGTCATAAAGACAAGTATGAATAAATTACTATTTGGTAGTATAATGAAGGTTATAAGGAACATTTTAAAGTAATTCTTCAGAACTGTTTTAGACTATGCTGTTAGGAAATTGTAGTCTCTCTCAAATTTAACAGGCATTTTACCAAGCACATTTTTATAATTTGGAGATGAAGATTTTGTCCAGGAGCAGTAACGTAGACTCTAATAACATGAGAGCAAGCATGAGAACAGTATGTAAAGCCAAAGTCACCATCTCTCCTCCTACCCCCTCTTGGTGATTATTCTTAATTTCAGAGTCAAAAATGACTGCCATCTTTGCAGTTGAGAAGCCTAAAAGACATTCCTGACTCTTCTGTCTTCCTCACATTCATGTCTTCTTAATCAAGTCAATTTTATCTCTAGAATTTATCTGTATTAACCACCATCAACTCCCTGGGCACAGTGACACCATCATGTGGCCAGCTGATCTCGCCCAGCTACTCTTGATGCTGGTATTAGTCTGTTCTCACACTGCTATAAAGAACTACCTGAGACTGGGTAATTTATGAAGAAAAGAGGTTTAATTGACTCACAGTTCCACAGGCTGTACAGAAAGCATAGTTGGAGAGGCCTCAGAAAATTTACAATCATGGCTGAAGGCCAAAGGGAAGCAACCACATCTTCACATGGCTGGCAGAAGGGAGAGAGAGAGCCAAGGGGGAGGTGCTACCCACTTTCACACAACCAGATCTCGTGAGAACTCACTCACTATCATGAAAACAGCAAGGAGAGATCTGCCTCCATAGTCCAATAACCTCCCACCAGGTTCCTCCTCCAATATTGGGGACTACAATTCAACATGAGATTTGGGTGGGAACACAGAGCCAAACCATATCAGACCCCTTCCTGTCTATTATCCCCAATGTATCCACAGTTATCTTTGAGATGGAAGCCTGATCATGTCATCCACAGGTCAAAATGGTGTTAATGGATTCCCATTATCTCAGTGGTGTCAAGGACTTCTGGTTATTCCAATGCCCAGGAGATAAAGTCCAAAGACTCAGCTAGGCCTCTAAAATCCTGTACGGTCTTTCTGTGTCCCCCCAAGTCACCATGCACAGGGCTTCCCACTCTGCTCACTGTGCCACACCAGCCTTCACTCAGGCCCCCAACACTCCTTGCTCTCCTGCCACAGCGATTTCACATAAGCCAGTTCTACTTTCTGAATTGCTCTTCTCACTACAAAAACTCTCACATTAATTTTTTTCATCCTGCAGATCTCAGCTCAAATGTCATTCCTCAGAGAAGCAATCCTGACTCCCTAGAGTAAGTCAGGTTCTGCTATTTTATGCTTCCAATGAATCATATTTCTTTTTAAAATCACTAATCACAGCTTTAATTTTGCCAATATTTGTGCATTTGATTAAAGTAGCTCTCCCTGAATAGACTATATGTTCCTTGAGGTCAAATTTATGTCTAATTTGCTCACCTCTTTACCCCCAACTCCACACCCAGTCCAAAACATTTGTTGGGAGAATAAATAAATAATTGTTGAACACTTTTGTGAGTTGAGACCTTCTTGGTAAAGGGAACATAGGCGTGAGCTGAAGTCAGTGCTCCCAAGGGGCTCTATTCCAATATAGGGAGACTATTTCAAACAAAAACACAAATGTGTTATAGGTCAATTGAGAAGAAAAGGCAGGTCCACAGGTAAGAGAGTAACCCATGGGTAGAAGAAATTCAGCTTTACCTTGACTGGTCATAGAAGGTGTTCCTGAGAAGCTATCTGAGAATTTTACCAGCCAGGTATTAGATATATCCTTTGTAATAAAAGCCATGGTGAGAGAATTTACACAATAGAAATCAGCAAATGCTACAAATCAGGGGTTTCATTCCTTTTGTTTTAGAGAGCCCATTTAGCTTCACACTACAAGCCTCATTCTTTAAAAATCAGTCCTTTATTTTCAGTTACGATTTACATATGTTGGGAGTAAGATGCCAGCACATATCCAAATAGATATGTCCACTATAACTATTTTAGTAATGGTGACAAGAAAATGTATCTTGGTCAACCATGGTTACAGGTAGAACAATTTCTCCCCTTAATATTTATCTAAAAAAAACCTTTTATTAACAGGCTTGATGAGGTTAAAATTTATGTAAAATTAACTGCACACGTATAAAGTATACAATTTAACAAGCATAGGCACATACATACATCCATGAAACCAACACCACTCTCAAGGAGGGCAACTCATCCACCACACTCTCAAGTTTCCTTTGTCCTTTGGCAATGTTTGTTTTTGTAATCACTTTGTACCCACTCCTTCTTAGGCAACTATTTATTTCTTTTCTGTCACTGTAGATTGGTTTGAATTTTCTAGAATTTCATAGAAATACAATTTTTACAGTATGTACTCTTTTTGCCTGCCTTTTTTCACTCACCGTATTTATTTATTTTATTTATTTTTTTGAGATGGAGTCTCGCTCTGTCGCCCAGGCTGGAGTGCAGTGGCATGATCTCGGCTCACTGCAAGCTCTGCCTCCCAGGTTCATGCCATTCTCCTGCCTCAGCCTCCTGAGTAGCTGGACTACAGGTGCCTGCCACCACGCCCGACTAATTTTTTGTATTTTTAGTAAAGACAGGGTTTCACCATGTGTAAGCCAGGATGGTCTCAATCTCCTGACCACGTGGTCTGCCCGCCTTGGCCTCCCAAAGTGATGGGATTACAGGCATAAGCCACCACACCTGGCCACCATATTTATTTTGAAATTAACTCATTTGCATTAATAGTTCATTCCTTTTAAATATTGGATTACTATTCCATTGGACGGTTATACTACAATCATTTATCTATTCAACAGTTGATGAACATCTAGGCTCATTTCTTACTATTAAAAATAAAGCTGCCATAAACATTTGTGTACAAATAGTTCTGTGGACATTTGTATTTATTAGGCTTTTTTATTCTGTAGTATTAATGCTTTGACATCTTGTTGCCTTACTGACTCACTGATATACTTTTTCTTCAATAGGAATGTAACCAAGTGAGTAATTAAGACAAAATGTGAAAACAGTTTAATATTTGTCTAGTCTTACACAAGAATTTTTGTCTCATTTTTCAACTATAAGAAAAAGTACTAAAGATTAATTTATTCAAAAGTTGGAACTTTCTTCCTTATTTTTGCCAAAATATCACACCTGAAGGATTTTGTTGTTGTTATAAATGTTGAGAGGTATGCATTTTTGTATTCCTATGAAATGTCATAGATATGAAATACTACATTCTAGGGAATATTTTAAAACAAAATATGACAGCTTTTCTAGCATTAACTATTAATGGCTATAAAAATTAGCATTATCTTTGTGCTTGGCTGCTCAGCTTTGTGTTGAGATAAACTACATGTTAGGTAGGAATGACAGCCAACTTACAATTAACATTTTTCATATCATATATTTGCTCAAGGGTATATTTTACCAAAAATTATAATGCTTTTAATGTAGGTTTCAATTTTCTTCCAAAATGAACTAAAAGGATTTTTTTTCCTGGTAATCAGAAAAAGAGAATGTGATAAGTTTCATTTATATTGAGTAATAAATTATAGTAGGCAGGTGTTTGCTTGCTATCTGTCCTTCATTGACACATTAGTCAATTGATTCATGCATAGTAAATTATCAGTTAATGTATTCTGGCCCACAACATACTCAAAATGCTTTAGACTGTGAAGATTCTTTCTATATAACCCTAAAAAGCCCTAGTTTAGGAGAAAAGGTACATGCCTTTGGCATGGCACTATATTCATAAAGAGATGTGATTTTTTAAAAAACTCCCTTTTTATGAAATTATTTTCTCTACTAAACTGCTATGAAAATGCTACCATTTTAACTAGAGAAAGAAAATCCACATTTGAGAGAATGGACTATTTTTTATTCAGTTTACTTAAAATCTGCCTAAGATTTCTGAAACTTAGTCAGCTCAAATGACAAATTAAACCTAATACAAAAGGGCAGATTCAAGGGCATGAAGGATGAAGTACATGGGCCTTGAAGTCAGGAAAACCAAGCGTCTAACAGGCTTTTGCCAACAAATTGGGTAACATTAGAATGAGACATGTAGTGTAGTGGTGTGACCATGGTTCTCTGCAGCCTTGACCACCTGGACTCAAGCGATCCTTCTGCCTCAGCCTCTCTAGTAGTTGGAACTATAGGCATGCACCACCATGCCTGGCTAACTTTCTAAAAAATTTTTTGTAGAGACAGGGTCTCGCTTTATTGCCCAGGTTGGTCTTGAACTCCTGGGCTCACACAATCCTTCCACCTCGTCCTCGCAAAGTGTTGGGATTACAGGCGTGAGCCACTGCACCTGGCCTGAGGTAGGTTTTTGTTTGTTTGTTTGTTTTGAGACGGAGTCTCGCTCTGTCGCCCAGGCTGGAGTGCAGTGGCACGATCTCGGCTCACTGCAAGCTCCGCCTCCTGGGTTCATGCCATTCTCCTGCCTCAGCCTCCGGAGTAGCTGGGACTACAGGCTCCCGCCACCACGCCCGGCTAATTTTTTGTATTTTTGGTAGAGACGGGGTTTCACCGTGTTAACCAGGATAGTCTCGATCTCCTGACCTCGTGATCCGCCCGCCTCGGCCTCCCAAAGTGCTGGGATTACAGGCGTGAGCCACTGTGTCCAGCCTGGCCTGAGGTATATTTTTAAAAATAATTGATCACCATAATGTAGAGCCTAATTAACGTGCTGTCTGCTATAATCCATATGGATTGCAGGCATTTCTCTGCTAAAATGTACTAAAGTGAGCCAGAGCAAGCAGCGGCTCCTGCCTGCTGGAGGATCAGTCCCTGCCCTCTGTCTCTATGCCAGGCCTGAGCTAGCTCCTGCTGCTCTCACAGCCAGGTGACAACCCCATTTGCTGGAACCAACATGCAAATAAGTCGCTTTATTCAATCTACCAACTCTGCCACAGAAAATAAAAAGTGTATACTGCGTTCTTTCAGAATATGATTTTCTAAATTAATTCAACAGGAAATAAATAACAGAAACAGTTTACCACAACAAGTAATACCCTATAGTGACATTTGTTGTTGTACAGTCTCTATTATCTCTTAGAACCAAAAATACCCAGATATTGTGACCTAAAATCTAATCTTTCAAGATGCTTCAATAAAAGAATTAGCAATGGTCAAGTAAATGTAGTAACTGCTGCATTTCTACATTATTTTTGGAGATTTTAAATGTTTACCAGGTTAAGGGTTCAAAGAAGACTTTTGTTTCAAATTAGCGTTTACCAGATGTAATTGACTGTGGACACGTTTTTACATAAAATTTATTAGCACACACATGGTAGAATTAGTTCAGAAGAAAAGCACATCTGTCAGTAAATGTTCAGTACAAGCAGGCCAAATATGAAATATCTCATTTTATATCCAAACCTCTAGAATCAGTTAAAATCTGGAACTTGCTCATTTAGTCGCTTTAATAACCTTTCTAAAGAATTGCATCTATCACCTGGTGACTTTTGAAATCATTTTATACATTTTATATTTTAAAAATATGAGACCATTTATTGTTTTTACCTACAGACCATGACATTCAAGGTTGCCTATGGCTGATCACCCACCCACTCCATCCCCACCATTAACTGTCCTGGCCTCTTTGTCACTCTGTATTCTATATATTGGAGATCTATATCCATTATTTCAGTTTCCTGAACCCACTGAGTTCTTCCATCCATTGCCATTTCCTCTGCTTGGAATGTGTTAATTCCCTCTCTCTTTACAGGACGGGTTTCTATAAAGCCATCCATAAACCAGCATCATAAGACAGAATTTGAATTTTCAGTGTGACATCAGCAAGATGGTGAAATAGGCATTTTCAGCACTCATCTCCTCACAGAAAAATCAATTTGAACAACCATCCATGAATGAAAATACCTTTGCAAGAGCTAAGGAATCCAGGTCAGAGATTATAGCACCTGGACAGAGTACAGAAATAAGAAAAGGCACATTGAATAAGGTAAGGAGGACAGTATTGCATTACCAGTGTGACGTCTACCCCAAGCTTACACATCACAGTAGAGAGAGAGATACCTTTTGCATGGGGAAAGGAAAGTGAAGTGAGTGCCTGACTCTCACATGGATTTTGGCACCAGACTCCTACCAGTGAATCTTGGCACAAAGCAGGTCCCATTGTTCCAGGCTACAGATCCACCTTCATGGTCTCAGGCACCAGACCTGTTCCCATGAAATCAGGTACCAGTGTGCCCTAATACCAGTGTGCCTAATGCCAGACTGATCCCTGTGGTCTCAATATGTGGCTCATTTTCATAGACTTAGCTTCCAGGCTCACCCCAACACCAATTCAGCTTCCAGGTTCGCCCCAGCACCAGGTCAACCTTTGCATCCCCAAGCTGCAGGCCAATACCTGCACCAGGTTAGCCTCTGTGGCCCCAAGATCTAGACCAGCCCTTGTGGCCTCCAGGCCCCAGGCCAGCTCACATGACCTCAGGCAACAGGCCCATCCAGAGCCATGCTGGCACCCACACCTTCAAGCTCCAGGATGGCCCCTGCAGCTCCAGGCTCCAACATAAGGCCAACCCCTATGGACCCAATTCCAGGCCTGTTTTCATGGTCTTAGGTACTAGGCTTTTCCCAATGGAATCAGATATGAGGCCTGTCTCAGTTGACCCTAGGGCCAGGCTGCTGCCATAGATTCTATGCTGAACCCAGCCTCATAAACTCAGGTTCTGGGCCCGCCCGGTACCAGAATATCCCCTATGAACTCAGGCTCAAGGCCCTTCCCGGTGCCAGATTGGCCTTATGGACTCAGGCTCCAGGCCTATCCCTGAAGACCAAGTCTACTCTCGTGGGCTCTGGTACCAGGCCAGTCACCTCAGACCCAGGAGCCAGTCCACACCCACAGACCCAGAATCCAGACCCACCCATGTAGACCCATGCTCATAGTCCACTGAGTGGACTGGGGCTATAGGCCTGCCCCCACAGGCCAAGGCACCAGGCCAACCCTTGCAGACTCAAGAGCCAGGCCCACATGCCCACTGACCCAGGCACCAGGCCAGCCCCCTAAAATAATCCCACCCATGGACCATTCCAGTTGGCCTTCCCAGAATCTCTGGACAAGCTGACTGGTAAAAGGATTTCCCACTGAAGTGTCTGTAAAGACTGTAAGAGGTGCCTACTTCTTCAAATATGAATACACCAAGGCAAAGCCACAAGGAACATAAATAATCAGGGAAACATGACATCACAAAAATAATGTAATACCCATAACCAATCTAAAGAAATGGAGATCTATGAACTTCCTGAAGAAGAATTCAAACTAATTGGCTTGAAGAAGCTCAATGAACTACACAAGAAGACACAGCCAACCAAACAAAATCAGGAAAACAATGTGTGAATAAAATGAAAAGTGTGACAGAGAGAAAACATAAAAAATAACCAAACAGAAATTCTGAAGCTGAAGAACATAATGACTGAACTGAAAAATTTCAGAGATCTTCAACAGCAAACTTGATAAAGCAGCAGAAAGAGGCAGTGACCTCAAACACTGCTTATTTGAAATTAACCAGTCAGAGGAACAAAAGAAAAAAAGAATGAAAAGAGTGAAGAAGACCGACAGGATTTATGGGCCACCATCAAGCAAACCTAATATGCATTAAGAAAGTCCTAGAAGGAACAGAGAAAGAGAAAGAGGAAAAAGCCTTCTTTAAGAAAATAACAGAAAATTTCCCAAATCTGGAGAAGTAAATGAAAATCCAGGCCAATGAGTTCAAAGAATTTCAAATAGATTAAACATAAAGAGATCATCACCAAGACACTGTATAATCAAGTTGAAAACTTTTCCTCTAACATCAGGAACAAGACAAGGATGCCCACTCTTACCACTTTTATTCAACATACAAATGGGTATCCTAGTCAACAAGAAAAAGAAATAAAAGGTATCCAGTTTGGAAAGAAAGAAGTTAAATTGTCTCTCTTTGCAGATGACATGATCGAATATATAAAAATCCCTAACACATACTTAGAAATAAATTTAATAGATAACTTTAAAAATTAAAAAAATAAATTTAATCAATAAGGTAAAAGGTATATACACTGAAAACTATAAAATATTGATGGAAGAAATAAGACACAAATAAATGAAAATACCCTGTGATAATGGATTGAAAGAATTAATATTGTCAAAATGTTCATACTACTCACCATGATCTACAGATTCAATGAAATATTTATCTAACTTCCAATGGCATTTTTCACAGAAATAGAAATAACAATGTTAAAACTTATATGGAGGCCAGGCGCAGTGGCTCACGCCTGTAATCCCAGCACTTTGGGAGGCCGAGGCAGGTGGGTCACCTGAGGTCGGGAGTTCGAGACCATCCTGCCCAACATGAAGAAACCCTGTCTCTACTAACAAAAAAATACAAAATCAGCCGGGCATAGTGGCACATGCCTGTAATCCCAGCTACTCAGGAGACTGAGGCAGGAGAATTGCTTGAACCTAGGAGGCTGAGGTTGTGGTGAGCAGAGGTTGCGCCATTGCACTCCAGCCTGGGCAACAAGAGCGAAACTCCATCTCAAAAAAAAACCCAAAAACCTATACGGAACCACAAAAGATCCCAAATAAAGCAATTTTAAGCAAGAAGAACAAAACTGAATGAATTATATTACCTAATTTTATAATATATTACAGAGTTATAGCAATCAAACATGATGGTATTGGCATTCATCAGAGGTATAGACCATTTAACAGAACAGAGAGCTCAGAAATAAATCCATACAATTACAGTAAATTGATCTTTAACAAAGGTGCTAAGAACCCAGAATGGAAAACATAGTCTCTTTAGCAAAAGGTGTAGGAAAAACTGGATATCTACAGGCAGAAGAATGAGATTGGACCCTTGTCTCACACCACATGCAAAAATCAACTCAAAATGGATTAAAAACTTAAACACCTAACAATGTAAAAATACTGGGGGAAAACCTTCTTAACATTATTCTGTGGAATAAATTTTTGGATACGACTCCAAAAGCAAAGGCAACAAAAGCAAAAATAGACAAATGGGATTACATCAAACCAAAAAACTTCTTCATAGCAAAGGCAATAATCAACAAAGTGAAGAAACAATTTATAGAATGGGAGAAAATATTGTGAGCCATACATTTGGTGAGGGGTCAGTATCCAACATATATACTAAAATCAAACAACTCAATTTCAAGAAAACAAATAACCCAGTTTTAAAAATGGGCAAGGGACTTAAGTAGACATTTCTCCAAAGGATATATCTATTTGGCCAACAAATGTATGAAAAAATTTTATAATATATTTGTATTATATCAATATCAATATATTGATATATCAAAATCACTAGTCATCAGAAAAAAATGTAAATCAAACCACAGCGAGGTGTAATTTCATAATCTAGAATGGGTATTATAAAAAAGATTAAAGATAAGTGTTGATGAAGGTGTGGAGAAATGGGAACCCTTGTACACTGTTGGTGAGAATGTAACTTAGTACCCCCATTATGGAAAACAGTGTAGGTTTCTGTGATGACTGGTTCTTCCAAAACAGGTTTCTCAAAAAATTAAAAATAAGCTACCATATCATTAAGCAATACCACTAGTGGTTATATATCCAATGGAAAAGAAATCACTATCTCGAAGAGATATCTGCACTCCCATATTCAATACAACATTATTCATAATAGTTAAAATATGGAAACAACCTGAGTGTCTGTCGACAAGTCACTGGATAAATAAAATGTAGTATATGTGTACCATGGAATATGATTCAGTCTTGGAAAAGAAGGAAATCCTCTCATTTGTGACAATGGATGAATCTGGAGGACATTATAGTGAGTGAACTAAACCAGGCACAGAAACGCAAATACTGAATGATCTTACTTATAGATGCAATCTAAAAAGGAAAAAAAAAAAGTGAAACCTACAGATGTAGACAGTAGGATGATAGTTACCAGGGGACAGAAGATGGGAAAAACGGGGAGATGTTGGCTAAAGGGTACAAAGTTTCTGTTATACAGGATAAATAATTTCTGGAGATTTTATTTACAGCATGGTGACTATAGTTAATACTGTATTATATACTTGGAATCTGCTGAAAGCAGCTCTCAGATGTTCTCACCACACACACACACACACGCACACCACACACACAAATGGTGACTATTTGAGGTGATGCATATGTTCATTAGCTTGGTAGTGGTATCATTTCACAATGTATATGTGTATCAAAACATCAGATTGTATACCTTTTTTGATGTTTGTTTTGTTTTGAAACAGAGTCTCACTTTTGTTGCCCAGGCTGGAGTGCAGTGGTGAGATCTCGGCTCACTGCAACCTCCCCCTCCTGGGTTCAAGCAATTCTGCCTCAGCCTCCTGAGTAGCTGGGATTACAGACACCCACCACCACGACCAGCTAATTTTTGTATTTTTAGTAGAGATGGGGTTTCACCATGCTGGCCAGGCTGGTCTCGAACTCCTGACCTGGGGTGATTCGCCAGCCTTGGCCCCCCAAAGTGCTGGGATTACAGGCATGAGCCACTGCGCCAGGCCTGTATACCTTAAATAAACACAATTTTGTTTACATGCCCCCGGCTCTGCTTTCTTGGACACAAGCTGCCTGACTCTAGGAAGATGCCAACACCCTGTCCATAGTCTCACTACAACCATTTCCTTACAGCACTGAAAATCATTTACACTTGCTTGTTTACCAGGTTGTTTCCTTGTTATTGTCTCTCCTTCACTGGATAAATAACTTTTTTTTTTTTTTGAGATGGACTCTTGCTTTTGTCACCCAGGCTGGAGTGCAATGGCACAATCTTGGCTCACTGCAACTTCTGCCTCCCGGGTTCAAGAGGTTCTCATGTCTCAGCCTCCCAAATAGCTGGGATTACAGGCGCCTGCTACCACATCCGGCCAATTTTTTGTATTTTTAGTAGAGACAGGGTTTCATCATGTTGGCCAGGCTGGTCTTGAACTCCTGACCTGAAGTGATCTGCCCACCTTGGCCTCCCAAAGTGCTAGGGAC
Organism: Homo sapiens; assembly: GCF_000001405.40. Lineage (NCBI taxonomy): Eukaryota > Metazoa > Chordata > Mammalia > Primates > Hominidae > Homo > Homo sapiens. The sequence continues at coordinate 67,350,020 of NC_000009.12, read as the reverse complement.
TGTAGGTGTGAGCCATCGTGCCTGGCCAGATAGCAGATATAATAGCCCCATGTCTGTTTCTTCACTGCTCCATCAAAGTACCCAGCATAGTGTCTGGCACACAGTTGGACACTGGGTGAAGATTTATTGAATGGGGAGTGAATTCTGTAGGGGAATTAGGAATTGAACCAGGAGTGCCTTTTGGAGATACTTAACCTCCAGTGTTTGAGGCTAAGAATGATCTGAGAAAACTGAAGCATGGACTAAAAAGCAGTGCTGAATGAAGCTAAGAAAAAACATAATGTGGTTGTCAATCTCCTGAATCTTCTGTTTATTAGGCCAAGCATCCTGTGGGTAGAAGTTCAGCCTTTCAGAACCCAAAAGTCACTCACTGGACTCAGGCATGACTAAAGATTCCATCATATGAAAAGCAAGGGAAGATAACCCAACTCTTCTGTAGACTCAGTCCCTTCATCCACAGCATGAAGCGATTGAATGAGGAGACCTATGATGTCATCTGGCCTCGACAGGCTATGATGAAATAACTTTAAATTGGGAAATTCTCTGATTTGAAAAGGGGATTTTCTGCTCTGACATAAGCCTGCCAGACACTTTTGTTTAAGTTGGGACACTTTCCTCATGCCAAATGCCTGCCATGTAGGTATTACACCATTGTAATAGACAGAGCTGCATGCCGACATCCTAGAGAAACAGGTCATGCTGAAGCTGGCCTACCTCAAGAGGTTCTACTGTGACTGTCACAGTAGATATGGGCATGGGACCTGGACAGGGAAAAAGAGCAGCTGAATAATGTTAACAGTGGTGGTAACTAGGGTAGGATGCAATAGTCCACACTAGTTATTTGTATAAATTTTATATTACAATTTTAAATCAATACCTTTCCTCCTCTGCACCTACAACTTGACAATGACTGATTTTTTAATGTTTCTAGAATTTGGCCTTTTCCAGAATCCCTTATCATTAAAATCATACAGTATATCATCTTTTCAGACTGGCTTCTTTCACTGAGCAGTGTGCATTTAAGGTTTTGCCATGTATTTTCATGGCTTGATGATTAACTTTTTTATTGCTGACTAATATTTCAGTGTGTACATACCAAATTTGTTTACCCTTACACAATTTGAATGATGATTGGTTCCTTCCAATTTTTGGCAATTATGAATCAAGCTGCAATAAGCATTTATATGCAGCTTTTGTGTGGACATGTATTTTCAACCCATTTAGGTAAATACCTAGGAGTGAAATCGTTGAATCATTTGGCAAGACTCAAACTGTGTTCCAAAGTGGTTGCATCATTTTGCATTCCCACCAGGAATGAATGACAGCTTCTGGTGCTCCATATCCTTGTCAGAAATTGGTATTGTCAGGTTTTTTTTATTATACCCATTCTAATAGGTGTATAGCTTCTCAATACTGTTTTAATTTGTAATTAACTAATGACATTTGATGTTGAGCAACTTATAAATGTTTATTTGCCACATGTATAACATCTTTGGTGAGATATCTATTCAGATCTTCTGTTTCCTTTTTTTAATGAACATATGGTTCATTTTCTTCAGGCTGTTGATATGATGGGTTGCATTAAATGATTTTCAAATGTTGAGTCAAACTTGTAAAGCAGTATATTTCCCTGACCCTTTCATGGGTAGGAACTGGAGTGCATGAGTGCCTGCAGGGGCGAACTCCATTCACTTGCTGCTCCACCCCTCGCCGGAGGGGGAGTGCAGGTGTAGGTGTAGGAGCTGGGGCAAGTGCTTTTGGGCACCAGCAAGAGTAAACTCTGTACTGACTCTGTGGCAGCATCTAGGGGAGGGTTCCCGTGACCCCTGAACCCCCAGAGAAAGTGTTACAGTGCCCTTTTAGCTTTGCCATTCATGGAGGGCTAAAGTGTTAACAGCTCAGTGCAGGGTCAGTGTGACACCCTTTTGCACCCACACTCAGGGCACCTGAGTTCTTGTCTGACATCCAGGAGGAATGAGGTTGCACAGAGAAATTGAAGATGGTAAATGTGGGGGATTTTATTGCCATTGAAAGTGGCTCTCAATAGGAAGGGGAGCTGAAAAGGGGTCAGAGCAGGAAGGTAATCTTCCCCTGGAGTCTGGCTGTCCCCAGCCGACTCTTCTCCAAAGCTACACCATCAAGCTGCTTCTCTCTAATGTCCCTCTGAAGTCAAGCTGCTTCTCTCCGATGTCTAGCCGTAGTCTCCAATGTCCAGCTGCATCTCCTCTTTCTGCCGGCTGAGCTCTGGGGTTTTTATAGGCACAGGATGGGAGGTGGAGCCATGGGTGGTTTAGGAAAAGGCAACATTCGAGGGGGAAAACAGGGATGTAAGTTTTCACTTTGGGCCGTGGTCCAGAGGCTTTTTGGCTTGAGGGTGGGGCCCTCATGGGGGTCCCCCATGAGGGCCCCACCCTCTTCTGCCCAGAATTTCCCTGCATCCTGTCCCTATCACTTGTATACTCAGAATAAATCTCCCTTAGTCATGGTGTATAATTCTTTTCACACAGTGTTGGATTCAGTTTGCTATTTTTTTTCCAGCTTTATTGAAGTGTAACAGACAAATACGAATTTACATATACTCAAGGTACATAGTGATTTGGTATATGTACACATGGTAAAATAATTACCATAGTCAACATAATTAACATAACCATCATTTCATATAGTTACCATTGTGTGTGTGTGTGCTGTTTCCTAAATTTTTGTGTGTGTGTTTTAGTTTTTAGACTTCTTAAAATCTTATTTTTAATGTATAAATAACAGTTGCATATATGTGTGGGATACAATGTGATGTTCTGATATATGTTTACATTGTGAAATGAATAAGTCATGTTTAATTAACAAATTCATCAAGGCAATAGAATATTGCAGGAGAGGAGACAGACTGAGCTTAACCCTGAATACAGCATGGGCAGGTGGGAATTTGTAGCTATGGAGCAGTGTGGGAGTCAGTGGATAAAAAGTTACTAAGAGGAAGGAAATATTAGGGGTGAGGGGGATTCTGGTTAAATCTGCCGAAGCCAGATGGGGGTGATCAGACCTCACCTGGGGGACAGTGGAAGATGCAGACCCTGATTTCATATGGAGGATGATCAGATATCCAGCATGGGGGTGCTTGCTAAATTGACTTAGCGGGGATTTTTGCTCAAACTGGATTTTACAAAGACATACATAGATGGGCCTAGGAGAAGGTTCAGGATGCTGACTCACTAAGGTTTCACCAAGCAATCTTTGTCAATACCAACAAACAAACCCCAAACCCAAGAGGCTTAAAACTTAAAGTTTATTTACCGTTTTGATTATTACACATTCTGCAATCATCAGCATAGAATATTAAGTTAGGGATCGCTAAGGGCTTTATGACTTGTTTCTAAACTGTGACCATCAAGTCCCTCCAAATCTCCAATAAATCTGATAAATTCATGAATCAAAGCTATTCTTTGCTGAGAAAAAAATGGTACAGTAAAATGTACAAGTTTGATAGAAAAAGCAGATTTTGATTTAAATTAGAGAAGAAACTTTTAAAAAATTAAATATGCTTTCAGTTTTACCCAAGGAAACCACACAGGTTATTGCTGCATGCAGAGTGCCAGGCACATGATCCAAAGCTACTGAGATAGCAACCACGTTGTTTCATTTATTTTAAAATATGTATAATCTGAAAGAGGGGTAGATGCTTCCAGAAAAAGAAAGGCTTGTCTTGTTCCAGTGAAAATAATAGAGATTTTATTAAAATAAATATTTTACCTGAATGACTTGGACAATTTGCAAAATTTGTGTTCGAGGGTGATTAAGTGGGTTGCTTTTCTGACCAACTTTCTTTATTTAATGCCGACTGTAAGATCAATTATTTGCTATTCATGAACGACCAAAAATAAAACACTCTTATTGAAAATATTGGAATGTAAAATGCTTCCTCTTGGTTCGATAATGGAGGATGGGGAGGCTTTCATTTTGCTACTTAAATGAAGCTTGATTCATTTATCTTTATTTTCAGCCTTCATGACTCAATTATAATTACAATCATGTATAATTTTGAATATTCATACAATGAATTTTTTTTTTTTTTGAGGCAGAGTATCGCTCTGCCACCAGGCTAGGGTGCAGTGGTGCAATCTCGGCTCACCACAACCTCCACTGCCTGGGTTCAAGATATTCTCCTGCCTCAGCCTCCCGAGTATGACTACAGGCGCATGCCACCATGCCCAGCTAATTTTTGTATTTTTAGTAGAGACAGGTTTCACCATGTTGGCCAGGATGGTCTCCATCTCTTGACCTCGTGATCTGCCCACCTTGGCCTCTCAAAGTGCTGGGATTAGAGGCGTGAGCCACCGCGCCTGGCCCTACAATACAAATTTTTAATTGCTGACTTTATTGGCTGTTGCCAGAACATCACTGAATCGATGTGTCAGAGTTTCTCACCCTCAGCACTAGTGACATTTTAGGCTGGATAATTCTGTGTTGTGGGGGCCTGTCCTGTGCATTATAGGATGTTTAACAGCATCTCTGGTCTCTCTCCATGAGATGCCAGCAGCATCCACCCAGCCCCACTTATAATAACTGAAAATGCCTCCAGATATTGCAAAATGTCCTCTGAGGGGCAAAATCATACCCTGATTGAGAACCATGGGCCCGATGTTATCATTGAGAAACTAACAAAGCCTTAATCAGCTTATTAAAAATACATATTTATTAGCTAATATTGAGAAAGAGTGTTCCTCCACTACATATTGTCTGTTTAGTAACAATACATATTCTAATCCTCTTTATAAAATATTTACCAAGGGTGCTGTATGAAAGAACATTAGACATTTAAAAACGAAAATGGAATGCTCATTTGACCTAGTCTGTGCCCCGTGAGCCTAAGGTAAAATGGGGTTTTTTTTTTTTTTTTTTTTGAGACGGAGTCTCGCTCTGTCGCCCAGGCTGGAGTGCAGTGGCGTGATCTCAGCTCACTGCAAACTCCGCCTCCCGGGTTCACGCCATTCTCCTGCCTCAGCCTCCCGAGTAGCTGGGAATACAGGCGCCTGCCAGGAAGCCCGGCTAATTTTTTGTATTTTAGTAGAGACGGGGTTTCACCGTGTTAGCCAGGATGGTCTCGATCTCCTGACCTCGTGATCCGCCCACCTCGGCCTCCCAAAGTGCTGGGATTACAGACGTGAGTCACCGCGGTCGGCGTAAAATGCGGTTTCTAACCATGCAAGTGACTGAAGCAAAGCAGAGGCGGGGGAGTGCGCTCAGAGTGGGGGCAGGGATGCTCTGGCCACAGATGGGAGTGAGAGGAATCCTCTTCCTACAGGTTCCCCTCTCACCCTCCTGTCTCTACATCCTCCACTCACACTAACTGATCCAATCACATCACTCTTTTTTTTTTTTTTTTTTGAGACAAAGTCTCACACTGTCGCCCAGGCTGGAGTGCAGTGACGCGATCTCGACTCACTCCTGCCTCAGCCTCCCAAGTAGCTGGGACTACAGGCGCCCGCCACAAAGCCCGGCTAACTTCTTTTATATTTTTAATAGAGACAGGGTTTCACCATGTTAGCCAGGATGGTCTCGATCTCCTGACCTTGTGATCCGCCCTCCTCAGCCTCCCAAAGTGCTGGGATTACAGGCGTGAGCCACCGTGCCCAGCCCATCTCCCCAGAATTTTTCACCTGTGCCTTACTTTAAAAAAATGTTTCCCCTAAATGCATTGCAAATAAAACTAGAGCAGGAATTTTTAATCTATCTTACTCACTTTTATAAAACTTCTTGCTAGAATATTGTGTGCCTGGGCGCATACAAGACGCTGGATATGTGTTAAAAGAATGAATGAATGAATGAATGACTCAAATATTATCTCAAACTTCACTGGGTACTTTGAGTTTTTACAATAAAGTTCTCATTCACTCTTCCCAGTCATGGTAGGCAGTTCCTCTCCTCAGTGGATGGCTGCCATTATCTAGAAAATGGGCAGGTGCTATCAATCTGGGTACAATTTAATTTAGGTTAACCAGGATTACCTACTACATGATTTTTGAAGGTTCATTGCAAATAATGCAGTTATCCAAGGCAAAACACTAAATATTTCTAGGCCCATTTGATTCCTTAAATATTTTTGCCTCTCGGTAGCTAATGTTCATTTCTGGGATTGGATTTAAATACTGGTCTGAATTCAAGTTTCTTATTTTAATTAAAATCACTTATTTTTAAAATATGCTTTATGGGCCTGGCACGGTGGCTCCTGCCTGTAATCCCAGCACTTTGGGAGGCCGAGGCAGGCGGATCACGAGGTCAGGAGATCGAGACCATCTTGGCTAACATGGTGAAACCCCGTCTCTACCAAAAATAGAAAAATTAGCTGGGTGTGGTGGCGGGTACCTGTAATCCCAGCTACTCTGGAGGCTGAGGCAGGAGAATGGCGTGAACCCGGGAAGCAGAGCGCACAGTGAGCCGAGATCGCGCCACTGCACTCCAGCCTGGACGACAGAGCGAGACTCTGTCTCAAAAAAAAAAAAAAAAAAAAAAAATATATATATATATATATATATATATATATATATATATATATATACTTTATGAAATTTGACACATAGGAGATAAAAATCTATGCAAATTTTATTAAATATCAATTTGTAAGAAAAATTTACTATATATTTCTGGTATAAATTTATATTTCTCCCAAATCTCATGCTTTTGGCTTGAAAATATTTTATTTTCTTTACCAGCACAAAGATTAGTACTCTCATTGAAGAAATAGTGAGTGAGTATATTAGTTCATTCTCTCATTGCTATCAAGAAATACCTGAGACTGGGTAATTTATTTTATAAATTTATTTATTTATTTATTTATTTATTTGAGACTTGCTCTGTTGCCCAGGCTGGAGTGCAGTGGCATGATCTTGGCTCACTGCAACCTCTGCCTCCCAGGTTCAAGCAATTCTTCTGCCTCAGCCTCCTGAGTAGCTGGGATTACAGGTGCACACCTGGGATTACAGGTGGCACCTTCATGCCAGGCTAATTCTTGTATTTTTAGTAGAGGTGGGGTTTCACCATGTTGGCCAGGCTGGTCTTGGACTCCTGACCTCAAGTGAGGAATGCCACTGCCTCCCAAAATGTTGGAATTACAGCTGTGAGCCAGTGCACCCTGCTGAGACTGGGTAATTTGTAAAGAAAAGAGGTTTGATTGGCTCATGGTTCCACAGACTGTACAGGAAGCATGATGCTGGCATCTGCTCAGTTTCTGCAGAGGCTTCAGGAAATTTACAATCATGGCAGAAGGCAAAGCAGTAGCCAGATGTCTCTCATGGCAGGAGCAGGACCAATGTGGAGGGAGGTGCCACACACTTTTCAACAATCAGATCTCCTTAGAACTCACTATCACTAGAAGATTACCAAGGGGATGGTTCTAAACCATTCATGAGAAACCGCCCCTATGATCCAGTCACCTCCCACCAGGCCCCACCTCCAGTACTGGGGATTACAATTTGACATGAGATTTGGGCAGAGGCACAGATTCAAACCATATCAGTGAGCATTGGTATAATGCCTTCTTCAAATTCAGATCTAATTCCTTAAAACTCTAAGCATCTCAAAACATTTTGCTTTTCAGCCCAAGGATTCAAGGCAGTTTATCACCATAATTGCTAAAAAGCAAAAATAAAAACAAAATGAAAGGCCTACCATGTCTCAAACACCTCCACCTTGTTTACAGTCATGTAGAAGATGACAATGGAGAAAACTTAGGAGTCCACAAGAATTTCAAAATAAAATTACTAAAAAAATGATTATGGTTAAGCAATTATTTTTCAAAATATTTTACTTTGCTATGTTAATCTGTCCAAATTATAGTTATCAATTTAAGTATCATTCTCTTTTTAGAAAATCTAAATCAACACAGAGGAAGAATTTGGTGGATAGGATTATAATCCCCAAGGATTTTGGACAGGCCATGGAGATAACCCACCAGGTCTGAGTAATACGTGTATTTACTGATAGATGCCTCCATCTATACTTGTGTGCATTTGCATGTGCACATGAGGTGTTTTTTGTTTTTGTTTTTGTTTTTACAGAGTCTGGCTCTGTCGCCAGGCTGGAGTTCAGTGGTGCAATCTCAGCTCACTGCAACCTCCACCTCCCAGGTTCAAATGATTCTCAAGCCTCAGCCTTCTGAGTAGCTGGGACTATAGGCATGCGCCACCACGCCCAGCTAATTTTTGTACTTTTAGTAGAGACATGGTTTCACCATGTTGACGAGGATGGTCTCGATCTCTTGACCTCATGATCCGCCCACCTTGGCTTCCCAAAGTGCTGGAATTACAGGCGTGAGTCACCGTGCCCGGCCACACGTGAGTTTTTTATGTGCATGCGTGTGTATGCATGTTAGGAGTTAAATTTTATTTTTGTTTTGAGCTTCAATATATTGTCATCTAAACTCCAGTAATTTCTACTTTTCTAAGTATTTTTTGAGAACTAAAATGAAAATAGTTTCTTTGTTTTTAAATGGAAATCTTTCACTGGTTAGAGTTTAGTTTGTTTAGTTTCTTTTAGGTTTAGGCTAATGTCTGTCATGTCCTATGGCCTATGAACATTTGCCACTATCCTAATGATCTATTCCACGGGTAAACAAACATTTCTGACCTTAACAATTGTCAATCCAAAAATATGGAAATAATGTATTGTTCTTGTGTTCAATAATGCTACAAACCTGCATAGTTTCCTGTCATAATGTTCAACAGTTTTTGAGGCCAACATACTCTCTCCCTCTCTGTGCTAAACAGTCTTGAGATTAAGCACACTGTCCTATTTTTGATGAACAACACCGAGAACAAGTCAAAAAAAAAAACTGCTTGTTGCAGGGAATAACTGCTCCTGGAAAAAAAAAAGGCTGAACCAATTCAACAACTTACTTATTGGACTAAGAGCTGATTTATTAAGGTTTGCTTTAAGACTTAGCTAGCTCCTGCAGTCCACAGCTGTTATATCAGAAACTCTGATTAGTCCCAACTTGTTCTGCTCCTTGTAAGACCCTGGGTGAATTTTTTTTTTTTTTTGAGACAGCGTCGCTGTGTCGCCCAGGCTGGAGTGCAATGGTGTGATCTTGGCTCATTGCAAGCTCCGCCTCCCGGGTTCACGCCATTCTCCTGCCTCAGCCTCCCGAGTAGCTGAGACTACAGGCGCCCACCACCACATCCGGCTAATTTTTTTTATTTTTAGTAGAGATGGGGTTTCACGGTGTTAGCCAGGATGGTCTTGATCTCCTGACCTTGTGATCCGCCCGCCTCGGCCTCCCAAAGTGCTGGGATTACAGGCATGAGCCATCGCACCCAGCCTAGACCCTGGGTGATTTTAACATTCCGCTGAGTGTCTGAAACCCTATGAACACTCTGCCCAATATTCTATTTTGAGACATGCTATTATACTGAGACTTTGAGCAGACTATATTCTTTCTTATTCTCATTTACAGTAAGAGAGCCAGGCATGGAATTAGCCAGGCGTGGTGGTGCACACCTGTAATCCCAGCTACTTGGAAGGCTGAGGCAGAAGAATCGCTTGAACCTGGGAGGCGGAACTTGCAGTGAGCCGAGATCGTGCCACTGCACTCCAGCTTGGGTGACAGAGCAAGACTCTGCCTCAGATAAATAAAAAAATAATAAATTACCCAGACTTAGGTGTGTCTGGATAGCAATGTGAGAATGGACTAATACACTCACTGTTTCTTCAATGAGAGTACTAGTAAGTCTAGTAAATGTAGTTTGCCTGACTAACAAGCTCTAGTATTTTTTTAGGGAGTTAAATGTCATTTCTAAGGAGGTCAAAGGATATATAAGAGATAACAAGTTTTAAAGTCAGAAGTGCATTTAAATTTGTGCTTAGAATTTATCTTGCATTTATCCTATTTCAGGAAATATTACCACATATGAAGTGTGGATATTTATGCGTACTTAGCAGTGGGCTTGAGAATATCACACACAATATTATACATAGGCTACCATAGAATCTGCAATTATTATAATACCCGAATGCCTCCTACAGCCCTTCTACCTCTTGAAGACCTTTAAGAATTTGCTTTTTCCACTGAAAATTAGAAAGAACAACATAGCTGAAGGCAGTCCTTGTTCTATTGGGTCATTTGTTGGGATTGTGCTTATCCTGCAACTTTGGGGAAGGGAGGCATTTCAACATGAAATGAGGCTGCTTGTAAGTCAGAAAAAGAGTGAAGGAAAATTGAATTTAGCTCTTGCCAGCATTGCTTGAGGTATTTGGATGATATAAATTTTTTTTTAAAGGCCACAATGCTTTTAGAATTTTCTTTGCTTGTGATTAGTCATTGTTGGCCTCTTTATGCTTCTCCCAGAATCATTACAATGCCATGCTTCCCCCACTCTTTTCTAAGGGCTCTAAAGCCTGGATTTATTTTTTCTCACCCAAGAGGCACAACCAAATGATGTTTAAGCATCCGCAACCCAGCCAATGTGTGAGGCCATTTCCTCCAAAATACATTCTCCTTTCTTACCTGCCCTCTCTGATTCCTTGTCCAGCCTGGCCTCTTATATGGACCCTGATCTTTTATCCTCAATATCTTTTCTTATCCCACGCCCACTGTCTACTTTAGTTTCAATTTCAGCCACTCGTTAGTTTCTTGGTAAACAAAGTGAATAAACGCCCTTGAAGTCCTGCCACTTACTGACTCCTTTGGAAACCCAACTCACCATTAAATTGCAGCGTCTTAAATTGTACTCTCTTTGCATACTGATTTATCCTCTGGTACTCAGCTAATTCACGGCTCTGAGTCTCGTGTACCTCATTTTCACATGCTCAGGTCAGGGTAGAGATGGCTTTTGTGAGGCCTTGAGTGGGAGGTGTGAGAGTTTGTCCTCTAAACATGCATTTTGACTCTTTTCGTGTTCGTTTTTGCCATCGAGGACATCAACAGGGGCCCGCTGCTCTTACTCTACATGTCTTTGGGGTATCACGTCTACAATACCTACCACATTAATCAGAGGACTTTGGAGGGCCCTCTGTTTTGGCTGTCAGGAGGGGCCGAGAACCTTCCCAATTATACATGTGAGAGGCAGAGCAAATCCATAGCAGCGATTGAAGGAACTATATCAGCATTTGTTTTTCAGTTGGAGATGTTGATGGAAATCTACAAACTACCACAGGTGAGACAGGATGGGGTGGGTCAGAGATGACATTGAATGTCCTTTGCTGTTATTACAAGGCATGTCAACAAAAGGTGGCTCAGAACAGTCTTTGATGCCCCCAAAGGTGACAGAAAGTCCTTGCACTGCCAGTGTTTATTTAGGGTAAGAAGGAGGCAGAATGAGATGGGCAGCAGTGAGGCATCCCTGGCTGGCACAGCCAGGCCAGCTCTGGGAACTCTATATCTGAACACTTACTTTCCAGATTAATTTTTCCCAGAGGGAAGATGATACATTAAAAAAAAATCAACAAGTAAATCTTCCCCTTTCCAAAAGAGAATGTAGTATCTTCAGCTTCAAAATGGTGAAATAATAATTGCTTTATTCTTTACTATCATGCTGTTATTATCTAACTGCTATATCTCCAAATAATTTTTTTTTTTTTTTGAGACAGAGTTTCGCTCTTGTTGCCCAGGCTGGAGTGCGATGGTGCGATCTCGGCTCACAGCAACCTCTGCCTCCCGGGTTCAAGTGATTCTCCTTCCCTAGCCTCCTGAGTATCTGGGATTACAGGCGTGCGCCACCACGCCTGGTTAATTTTTGTATTTTTAGTAGAGACGGGGTTTCTTCATGTTGGTCAGGCTGGTCTCGAACTCCCAACCTCGGGTAGTCCGCCCACCTCAGCCTCCTGAAGTGCTGGGATCACAGGCGTGAGCCACTGCACCCGGCTTTGCGAAGAATTTTTGACCATCCTCTGACTCTCTCCAGAATCGTATCCTTGACTAATAGTCAAAATTGGAATTTTTATAGCCCTGTAAACCCACAGATTAGCTTATAGGGAGATTTGGTAAACTGAGATTTTGGGGAGGGGAAGGGAGGCTGGCAGAGAAGAAACTTTGTTTACAATTTTATTACCCTGGATAATATTAACCAATTTTGTATGTTTCTTAGAAATTTTATTACAGCTTACCTGTTTGCCAATGGCTATATGAAACCTTGCTCTTCAAATGGTCTACAAATCAGGACTTTTGTCTTCAGGATGGTTTTCTCATGAATGAGTTGAGTACAATTTTAACTCTTGTTAAGAAAAACTCTGAGCATTTTGCCTTTACACACGTTCATCAATTTCTCTAGTAATTTACTTGCTAGCTTTGAATTTCTTCTAGGAGTAGAAAGTGAAGTGCCTGATGTATTGTGTTTGATTGTGCCCTTCTCCCTCAAATCACTTCTGAATATAAATGGATATTGTTTTTCCTTTTCCTCTAAGATTAGTTATGTCCATTTGATCCTTTGCCTAATGATGAAGGACAGTTTCCATCTCTGTATCAGATGGTCCCAAGGAATCATCTTTGCCTCTTGGCATGGTGAAGCTGTTGCAGCATTTTAGCTAGATCTGGTAGGGCTGCTTGTCTCGGATGACATAAAAGGTGGGCATTTTCGGCCAGGCACGGTGGCTCACGCCTGTAATCCCAGCTCTTTGGAGGGCCAAGGCTGGTGGATCACCTGAAGTCGGGAGTTGGAGACCAGCCTGACCAACATGGAGAAACCCCGTCTCTACTAAAAATAGAAAAATTAGCTGGGTATGGCAGTGCATGCCTGTAATCCCAGCTACTCAGAAGGCTGAGGCGGGAGAATCGCTTTAACCCGGGAGGCAGAGGTTGCTGTGAGCCGAGATTGCACCTCTGCACTCCAGCCTGGGCGACACAGCTAGACTCCGTCTCAAAAAAAAAAGAAAAAAAAAAAGTGGGCATTTTTTCTAGGAACTGAGAGAAGTGGCCAGGGAAGGCATCTATTCAGGCTTTACAAAGAAACTGTCTTGGAGGGTGTTCTGCCATCAGCAGGCAGGATAACATTGGCCAAGACTGAAGATCCATCAACAAATGTGACTGCTGTCTGTGGTGACACAGACCCCCTAATCCTCCTGACGTTCTGGGATGGAATACTTTGAAAACGTGGAAAGCGTGTGTTACCACCTCCCAGTGGGACTTTATCACACATGGGGGAAGTTTCATACTTAATCCATTCCATGGGACTCTCACTTTTTCAAAGCAGAACAGTGAGATGCCTGGCTTCCAGCATTTTGTTCAGACAGCCCTTCCGCACACCCAGAACACATTTTCCATAATAAACCGTGGCTTTTTTCCTTGGATTGCTTCCTTTCTGATTCTGGCTGTGAAACCCTAGGAGGTTGCCCACGAAATGCTTTCTTGGGTCCTGTGCCTTTGCGTTGCTTTGACTGGATTGCATCTGATTTCATTAAGACCATCTATGATGCTGCGTGTGCAGCCAATGCCCTATGCTAAGTGCTGCTTTTAGAAATACAGTGGGATATGAGGAAAATGTAGATGCAGTGCTGTTTCATCCCTGGCAGGTAATGATTTCCGCTAGGGCATTGTCGGCCCTGGAGCCCATCGATTCTTGAAACATATAGTCATAAATGAGATTTTCTCAAAACCTGCATAATAACGCAGGCAAAACACATTGAAATTTTACATTCTGAATATAAATTCTGAAAATGAATATGTCTACTTGCTTTTACAATGAGAAACCATATATAGTCCGGAGAGTTTTCAGTTTTGATATGTGTGTGTGTGTGTGTGTATGTGTGTGTATAGATGATCGTCACATAGATATCTCTGGCTAGAAGAAACTTTGTCATATTTGTTCTAAGATTAAATGTTTGTCCCGTATTTCCAATACTCATTTTCAATCTGATTTAAATTTTTTGATCTATGATATTAACTGTCTAGAAATGACTGGGGAAAAGAAATTAGTTTTGAGCCCTTACTTTGTGTTCAGCATAAATGGTGATTATATTTTTTCTTTTAATTCAAAATAACATTAAGAGATATGAATTGCTATTTCTATTTTATGTATGAGAAAAACTCATATTCAGAGACACTCGGTAAAATTCTTACACACTGCCTGTAAATGGATCATCAAAAATTTGAAAGTGGCCAGGTACAGTGGCTCACTCCTGTAATCCCAACACTTTGGTAGGCTGAGGGGGGGCTGATCACCTGAGGTCAGGAGTTTGAGACCAGCCTGACCAATATGGTGAAACCCTGTCTCTACTAAAAATACAAAAATTAGCTGGGTGTGGTGGCGGGTGCCTATAGTCCCAGCTACATGGGAGGCTGAGACAGGAGAATCGCTTGAACCCAGGAGGCAGAGGTTGCAGTAAGCCAAGATCGCGCCACTATACTCCAGCCTGGGCAACAGAATGAGACTCCATCTCAAAAAAAAATAATAATAATAAAAATCGAAACCACAATTGTCTTTATTTTCATCAAAGTATAAAGTTGAATTTGAGCTTTTAGTCTTCAAGGATCAGGGAGGAACAATGCTTCAGTTAACGTTTCATAGCATAATGCATTTTTTTTATTACTCCCTGATGCATCCCTTTTAGCTTTACTCTCTTAAGGACCACGGAATTTATGACCAGTGCTGATGATCAGGTACCCAGATTAGAATAGGAACTCTGTTGCATAGTATGATATTCTGAATTATTGTAATTTGCTTGATGGTCTCCAACATCAAGGGAAGCTAGGAGAATGTGTTTTCCACGTGGTCAAGATTTTACTATACACGAGGAAAGGATCAAATGGGCCATTGTTGTTTTCAGAGGTTAGTCACAATTTCAAAGATAGCTTTTTACTGAATATGGATACCAGAATAGAGTTGATTCATGCAGGTAATTTCACCTGATTTGAACCCTCTACGTAGTTGATATGTACACACGCCTATACATATGTATGTTGATACGTATCCCACCTATACACGCTTCTACCTTTTAATATTTCTTATTCATTGCTTACCAAAGAACAAACATTAAATTGCATAATAAAATGACAATGATGGTAATAATGGTACTGAATAATCATTAACTATGTGCCAAGCATTGTTTTAGTGGTTTTATGTATGTCTGTTATATTACTCAGAACACTGCTATGAGTCAGATCCCTTTCATATTTGTTTTAGATAAGAAAAGGGGTGCAAAGGAACGTTAAGTAACTTATTCACCATTATACTCTTAGTGATGAGTCACAATTTTAACCAAAGGAGTTCCTGTCAAAATCCATGGTTTTAACCACAATACTGTATTGGTCCTCAGATTTTTATATCTTATTAAATAATATATTTCTTTCTAAATTTATTTTATTATTTTATCACTACACATGTAACAAAAATGCATTAAATAATATATTTCTAAAATTAAATGTTTTGTTTTTATTTCTACATAAAAATATTTTTGATATTCTGAATTTCTATTATCTTCCTCATTGTTATAATTAAGATTGTCTTGGTTTTTATAGTCAATGATACTAACTCTAAACAGTAAGTTTTGTGTCTTTATTTCAAATCCTTATGTTATTTTATAGGAGCTCAATTTTCATCTTTGTGCATATCATACCCCTTTCAAATGGAATAATTCTTATATTTCACCTTGATGCTTTCTGTATATTTCTGGTAATAACTTTACTTGTACTGTTAGGTTACTCAGACATTCTTTTTTTTTTTTGAGACGGAACGGAGTCTCGCTCTGTCGCCCAGGCTGGAGTCCAGTGATGCCATCTCAGCTCACTGCAAGCTCTGCTTCCCAGGTTCATGCCATTCTCCTGCCTCACCCTCCCGAGTAGCTGGGGTTACAGGTGCCCACCACCATGCCCTGCTAATTTTTTTTGTATTTTTAGTAGAGACGGGGTTTCACCGTGTTAGCCAGGATGGTCTCGATCTCCTGACCTCGTGATCCGCCCACCTCAGCCTCCCAAAGTGCTGGGATTACAGGCGTGAGCCACCACTCCCGGCCACAGGTTACTCAGACATTCTTTTATGAATTACAAGTTAGTTTGGTGTCTACTAAAATGCGTATGATTTTCTGTAATGATTTGTTAGTATAGATTATTAAATTTATATATATGTATATATGTATACCTATTAACTTATCCTTGCTTTCCTAGGATAAACTGAAATTGATCATAATTTTTAATAGACATTATTCTTTAGAGTAGTTTCACGTTTTAAAAAATTTGAAGGGAAAGTACAAAGAGTATATATACCTCCCTTCTTCCCCGTTTCTCTATAATTTGTATTTTCTATAACACTTTGCGTTAGGGTGATGCATGTGTTACAATTGATGAACCAACATTGATACACTATTATTAACTGAAATCCATACTTTAGGGTTCAGTCTGTGTTATAGAATTTTATGGGTGTTGACAAATTTATAATGTCATGTATCCACTATTGCAGTATCAGACAAAATATTATGGCTGCCTTCAAAGTCCCTTATGCTCCACCTATCCATCCCTCCTTCCTTCTCCACCAGGATGCTTTCTTTAATATTTTGTGGTACACAGGGTATTTATATCCATATTCCTAACTGGAAATGTTCTCTAATTTTACTTTACCATTCTACGATTTGTTTTGTTATCAATGGTATGCTAGCTTCTCAAATCGAGGAGTCTTTTTCTAATTTATTAAAAGATGAAAATTTACTATTTCTTGAACACTGTTATTTGGGTATAAGATCACATGGCTCTGGTGTGTATCTTGTGGCTCTATTTTTAACAACTAACTCTATTTTAAATTATTATTGTGATATGGGTTGGATTTGTGTCCCTGCCCAAATCTCAGGTGGAATTGGAGGAGGGGTCTGGTGGGAGGTAATTGGATCATGGGGGTGGATTTCCCCCTTGCTGTTCTGTGAGAGTGGGTGAGTTCTCATGAGATCTCATGGTTTAAACGTGTGTGGCACTTCCCTGTTCTCTCTCTCTCTCCTGCCACCACGTGAAGAAGATCCTTGCTTCCCCTTCACCTTCTGCCATGATTGTAGGTTTCCTGAGGCCTCCCTGTCATGCTTCCTGTTAAGCCTGTGGAAGTGTGAGTTAATTAAATCTCTTTTTTTTTTTTTGTAAGTTATCCACTCTCAAGTAGTTTTTTTTTTTTTTTCTTTTGAGACGGCGTCTCGCTCTGTCACCCAGGCTGGAGTGCAGTGGCGTGATCTCGGCTCACTGCAAACTCCGCCTCCCGGGTTCACGCCATTCTCCTGCCTCAGCCTCCCGAGTAGCTGGGACTACAGGTGCCCGACACCACGCCCGGCCAATTTTTTATATTTTTAGTAGAGACGAGGTTTCACCGTGTTAGCCATGATGGTCTCGATCAGGATCCTGACCTTGTGATCTGCCCGCCTCGGCCTCCCAAAGTGCTGGGATTACAGGCGTGAGCCACCGCACCCAGCCTCAACTAGTTCTTTATAGCGGTGTGAAAATGGACTAATACATATTGTTTATTTTAACTTTGTATTTCTCCTTCAGCTGATGTATAAGTTCTAAGTTATAGGTTTTGTGTTTAAATTTTTTATTTCTTCTTGATCCATTAGTTATTTATACATATATTTAAAATGTAAAAAAATTAGGATTTTGATTTTGTTGATTGATTACTAATTTAATTGTATTGTAGACAAGAGTCTTGCTCTTTAGCCAGTGAATGCTCAATTTTAATGAACTGTCCATGTGTACTTGTGAAAAATGAGTAGTCACTGACTTGGAGGTTCAGAGTTCTGTGCATGTTTATTATATCAGTCTTATTCATTATGTTCCTTAAATTACTTGTATTCTTCTTTACATTATGTCTAATTAAACTCTTTATTCATGAGGGAGATACATTGATATCTACCATCATGGATAGATTTGTCAAATTTGTCAATTTCTCCTTGTTATTCCACTGCACAGTTTGTGTTTGAATTGGACTATATGCATATAAAGGCAGATGCTCAATCCTTATATCCTGTTGAGTTCAACTCATGAAATAAAAAGTAACCAGTATAATTTAGCCATTTTTATTCTACTTTATATGTAACTTGATATTTATCACATATATTATTTCTTTGTATTTTTATATGATCTGTCTAAAATGTACAAAAAATTTCCATGTTACTAATTTTTCAGATATTACTGTTAAGTGGTAGCATGCTGCCATGACATAGCTGAATTTCCACACTGCCCTAACTCTGCTTATCTTTAAAAAACACGACACTTGCTCTAGGAAGTTCCCTTTGTAACCAGACCCACTGACACTTGTTAGAACCAGGATAGCTAAAGCCTCAGGCTTCATTATAATCTCATTTCCATGCTAAATGGCACTCCTGGCCAGGCACGGTTGTACATCCCTGTAATCCAAGCCCTTTGGGAGGCCAATGTAGGAGGATTGCTTGAGCACAAGAATTTGAGACCAGCCTGGTCAACAGAATAAGACCTGGTCTCCACAAAAAAAAAAAAAAAAAAAAAAAAAAAAAAAAAATTTAAAATTACCCAAGTGTGGTGTCACACACCTATAGTCTCAGCTACTCAGAAGGCTAAAGGGGGTGGATCACTTAGGCCCGGGAGTTCAAGGCTGCAGCGAGCCATGATTGCACCACTGCACTCAAGCCTGGGCAACAGAGCAAGGCCCCATCTCTTAAAATAGAAAAGAAATCCTAGCACTTTGGAAGGCTGAGGCGGGCAGATTGCCTGAGTTCAGGAGTTCGAGACCAGCCTGGGTAACACAGTGAAACCACATCTCTACTAAAAATACAAAAAATATAGCCAGGCGTGGCAGCGTGCGCCTGTAGTCCCAGCTACTTGGGAGGCTGAGGCAGGAGAATTGCTTGAACCCGGGAAGCGGAGGTTGCAGTGAGCCCAGGTCGTGCCACTGCACTCCAACCTTGGTGACAGAGTGAGACTCCATCACCAAGAAAAAAAGGAAAGAAAAAAAAAAAGACACTTCCACTGGTGTCATGACACTTGACAATCATCATGACGCTGACCAGAAATCATAAAAGTTCAAAAAGGAAGGTGGCACTAGGAGTTCTGTGAAGTTGCTGCTCATTCCTGGAAAATGCATGAATATTCTTCCCCTTGCTTTTAATGTCCAATCCCTTCATTAGAGAAACCCTGTATTTTATTTTAACCTCCTCACCTCTCATTAGTCGAGAAGTGATTTGTGAGCCATGCTTCTGCTTCTCAAGTCCACGGCCATCAAGTAAAGCTTGCACTGCTTGGTGCTCACCTTCAGTTTTGTGTATTGCCTTTGCAGCACCGAACAAGTAAAGACCCCATTTTTGGAGGAAGTGGCTTTGTTTGATAGCATTGCTATGGCTATTAACATGCATATTAGCTCATCCCATAATTCTAATGTTTATATTTATATTTTTTATTTTTTTAAGAATCTTGCTGATTGATTTTGTTCATCTCCCAATTCCTGCTCACAATTTGACACCCTATTTGTTTCCTTAAAGAGTTTAAGCCTATACATATTTTGATCCTATATCTGAAAATTATAAAGTCTAAAATGCCTTCTGGTTGCATTTTGTTGTTTGTTGTTTATGTTGACTCTTCATTGTGTGGTTTACATGTTCATTTGGTCTTAGTGTCTGTATAACTTCATGGTGAGTAATAAATATTTCGAGGATCAGTCCCTCTTACAGGATTGCCTGTGTTTCATCCAAGCACCTGCGTTGTTAATAATCAGAAGACATTTAATTTATGCACTTAAAGTTTTCCTTGACTATACAAATACATTTAAAATTAAATCCCAAACCAGTATGAAGACAAGTTTTTGAATAAAAATTTCTCAGAAGAGACATTTTTCTCTTTTGCCACCCAGACTCCAAACTGAGGCTGAGAACTTATCTCCTTTCACTGGCAAGAAGATTTTTTTGTTTTCTTTTTCTTAGATCATTTCCCCATGAAAGTAGGCCTTCAGGCTGGGCACGGTGGCTCACGCCTGTAATCCCAGCACTTTGGGAGGCCGAGGCAGGTGGATCATGAAGTCAGGAGATCGAGACCATCATGGCTAACATGGTGAAACCCCGTCTCTACTAAAGAGATTACATTGTCTTAGATCAGGACGGCCAAGTGGAAGTGACAAGAAGTGATTAGAATTAGGAAGTATTTTGATGGGAGAGTGAAGAGGATTCGCTGATGTATTAGTTGTGTTTTTTTGTGAAGTAAAAAATCATGAGTAATGCCCAGATTCTGGACCAGTGCAACTTAATGTCTCATGGTCAATCTAATGGGAGTTTGAGGGGGTGTTTTTTTTTAATTTTGAAAAAAGCAGTATGCCTTGGTCATTGCAGTATTTCTAGAATTCAACTAAGGGTCTGGCTCGCCAGTTAAAGCTTTCTTGTGTAAACGAATAAATTTCTTGTATAAATGAACAAATTTAAGGCTTAGCCTGCCAAATAGATATTTGGAATGTCTTAAAGATTGTAATGGTCTCATCATCAGATAAAAAATAGGAGTAGCATGCACATCTATGTAAAAGATTAAAAAAAATCTTTCTTCATATAAATGACAAGGGGGATAAATACTGCTAAACTGGAATGAGTTAATTTGTAAAATCTTATAATTTCATGAAGTATGGAGAATAGGTGGACAATGTGCTTTAAGATGACTAATGTTATCATTGTTTAGTCCTGTGGAAAAAGGAAGCATTTCAGAACTTGAGACAATAAGCTTTTGACTTTTTAAAATCAGACTCCAATGAATGTGCAAAATGCCCAGACAACCAGTATTCAGTGAGAGCGATCACTGCCTCACAGAGTTGTGACCTTCCTGGACTTTGAAGATGCACTGGGGACAGCACTGGCCAGCATAGCTCTCTGTTTCTCTGTCCTCACTGCCATTGATATGGTTTCGCTGTGTCCCCACCCTAATCTCATCTTGAATTATAGCTCCCATAATTCCCACATGTTGTGAGAGGGAGCTGGTGGGAGATAATTGAATCATGGGCGCAGTTGCTCCCATACTGTTCTAAGTCTCACAAGATCTGATAATTTTATTAAAAGGCTTCCCCTTTCGCTTGGCTCTCGTGCTCCCTTGCAGGCCGCCATGGTAAGACGTACCTTTCACCTTCAGCCGTGATTGTGAGGCCTCCCCAGCCACGTGGAACTGTGTGTCCATTAAGGCTCTCTTCCTTTATAAATTACCCAGTCTCTGATATATCTTTATCAGCAGTGTGAAAATGGACTAATACAGCCATGGTTCTTATGATCTTTGTGAAGCACATACACACACTCATAGTCAAGACTCTCAGCGACATCTCTCTGTCTGTTTTCTTCTGCTCCTTGCTCTTCACTGGCTGTACAAACACAGTCACTTGTAACCTCTGACAGACAACATTTGGAATCATTTTTACTGTGGTTGTTTCAACTGCGTTAGCTAAAACTATCACTGTGCTTATAGCCTGTAAGGCTACAGCATCAGAGAGAAAGCCAAAGTGGTTTTGGGGACCGGGAGTATTTAGCACAGTTATTTTCATCTGTTTCCTTATCCAAGTAACTCTCTGGAATTTGGCATGGGATCAAAGAGTGCCATCAGGACTCTCAATGATGAGGTATTCTTTGCCTTCCACTCTGTTCTGGGATTCTTGACCTTTTTGGCACTGGGGAGCTTCATCTTGGCTTTCCTGGCCAGGAGCCTGCCTGACACCTTCAATGAAGCCAAGTTCTTGATGTTCAGCATGCTGATGTTATGTACTGTTTGAATTACCTTCCATACTGTGTAACATAGCACCAAAGGGAAGGTCATGGTTGCCTTGGAAATATTCTCCACCTTGACTTCCAGTGCTGAGTGCTAGGTGGTATCTTTGCTCCCAGAGGCCGTATTATTCTAATAAAACCAGATAAGAATACTCTTGGAGAGTTAAGGAAAAAAGCAAGTTCTTACATGTATAAATATTTAATTTCTGGCCTTAGAAAAATAAAAAAGAGGAATGTAAAAAATAACTGCTATTTGCATGCAGATGAGACAGTCACATTTAAGTAATATTTCAGACTGGTTTATAATCTCTTAACTCTGCCATCATATTCAAATAGTGTGAAATTCACAGTACCTTCAATCATCAAGTTTGTGAATATAAATATTAACTTCGATGTGTGTTTTCTGAAGGTTAAATTTATTATTAAATGCTGTAAGTTGTCCATTATATGCACAGTAACCCTTTTTATCTCTATCTTTAGCTACCATTTTGTCTTAGACACACATCTTAAGCAGAAAGTATTGAGGCAGTCCTCCACTCAACATCTCATTTAATTTTATGACTTTTTTCTAATTGGCGGGACAGATGGCATAAAGATTTATAATTTGTATTTGAACTTTATTATATTTTTCTGTTTTCTTCTGACAAATATATGTAAAATTATAAAAATTTACCTGCAATTTATATATCTAAATTGCGGGAGGTAGGAGTCTAATATTACTTTTATCAAACAAACCAGACATTTGTCCCTAAATAATAATAGACTACACTTGTCTTATTGATTTTAAATGCAACTGTATTGTACTCTACATTTTTGTGTTGTCAAAAATAACTCCATGTCAGTTTAGTTATCAACAAGCAATTTTAATATATGTGGGAGAACAATCAATAGATTATCATCAGAGATAAAAATTGGATTTATAAAACAAAAGGGCAAAGGCATTTAAAAAAAGTCTGAAAAATGAGTTTAGTTTTCTTTATCCTGAGTATACTGACTGACAAGAGGGACACTAAGGGGTCAGTCTCTGGGATAGTCAACAGAGAAAACTTTCAGTTATTTCTAGATTATCTGAAAAGGCTCGACAGTTCCGCTAGGACAAACTGTGTCCAGGCATTACGTGCCACTCTCCTTCTATTGCCACTCTGAACACAATTAAATCAGACTGCATCATATCCCTTTAAAATAGATCTTATATCCCTGTTTTCTTTGGTTAAAATCCAGCTCCTAGATGAACAGATTTTTCCTATAGAGGTTTTTTTTTTTTCTTCAACACTGTATTATGAGTTGAATGTCAGGTCAGGGTTACGGCTGTGAAGCAAGATATAAGAATCAAGATAGGCTGGGTGCGGTGGCTCAAGCCTGTAATCCCAGCACTTTGGGAGGCGGAGGCAGGTGGATCACGAGGTCGGGAGATACAGACCATCCTTGCTAACACTGTGAAACTCCGTCTCTACTAAAAATACAAAAAAAATTAGCTGGGCGCGGGGGCAGGCGCCTATAGTCCCAGCTACTCGGGAGGATGAGGCAGGAGAACGGCGTGAACCCGGGAGGCGGAGCTTGCAGTGAGCCGAGATGGCGCCAATGCACAGCCTGGGGCGACAGAGTGAGTCTCCGTCTCAAAAAAAAAAAAAAAAAATCAAGATAATGAGAAGGTTAAAAAAGATAAAAAGTTTGGGAATAATCCCAAGTATTTTAAGAAATATTTGGAGCTCACTTAGCATCTAAGTTTTTCTTGGGTTTAGCTTAACGAGAAAAATAACTCCTAAGATCAATTAAATCAATTTTATTTACCTAATGTTTATTCAGATTCCAGATATTTCAGGTATGGTGAAGATTTTCTCTTGGAAGGACATTAAATTGCCAATTATCTATTATTTAGGACTATCCTAGTCAACACGTTGCTGCTATTCTGTTGAGTTTCTAAAACCTGAAGTGCTTTGTTTACTGCGTAGTCCATAGTCAAGGATAAATTATGGATCACGTATGTTAGTTGGGAAACAACTTGGATAAGGTAGAAACACCTACACACACAAACATACACATACACACATACACACAAACACACACACACACATACACACACTGACACTGTGTCCGGAATTGGTGGGTTCTTGGTCTCACTGACTTCAAGAATGAAGCCGCGGACCCTCGCCGTGAGTGTTACAGCTTTTAAGGTGGCGCATCTGGAGTCTGTCTCTTCTGATGTTCAGATGTGTTCAGAGTTTCTTCCTTCTAGTGGGTTCGTGGTCTCGCTGGCTCAGGAGTGAAGTTGCAGACCTTCACGGTGAGTGTTACAGCTCTTAAGGTGGCGCGTCCGGAGTTCGTTCCTCCTGGTGGGTTGGTGGTCCCACTGGGCTCAGGACTGAAGCTGCAAATCTTCGCGGTGAGTGTTACAGCTCATAAAAGCAGCGTGCACCCAAAGAATGAGCAGTAGCAAGATTTATTGCAAAGGGCAAAAGAACAAACCTTCCACACTGTAGAAGGGGACCCCAGCGGGTTGCCAATGCTGGCTCGGGCAGCCTGCTTTTATTCTCTTATCTGGCCCCACCCACATGCTGCTGATTGGTAGAGCCGAGTGACCTGTTTTAACAGGGCGCTGATTGGTGCGTTTACAATCCCTGAGCTAGATACGAAGGTTCTCCACCTCCCCATCAGATTAGTTAGATATAGAGTTTCCACACACAGGTTCTCCAAGGCCCCACCAGAGCAGCTAGATACATACAGAGTGTCGATTGGTGCATTCACAAACCTTGAGCTAAACACAGGGTGCTGATTGGTGTATTTACAATCCCTGAGCTAGATATAAAGACTCTGCACGTCCTCACCAGAGCAGCTAGATACAGAGTGTCAATTGGTGCATTCATAAACCTTGAGCTAAACACAGGGTGCTGATTGGTGTGTTTACAAACCTTGAGCTAGATACAGAGTGCTGATTGGTGTATTTACAATCCTTGAGCTAGACATAAAGGTTCTCCACGTCCTCACCAGAGCAGCTAGATACAGAGTGTCGATTGGTGCACTCACAAACCTTGAGCTAAACACAGGGTGCTGATTGGTGTATTTACAATCCCTGAGCTAGAGATAAAGACTCTCCACGTCCTCACCAGAGCAGCTAGATACAGAGTGTCGATTGGTGCACTCACAAACCTTGAGCTAAACACAGGGTGCTGATTGGTGTATTTACAATCCCTGAGCTAGACATAAAGACTCTCCACCTCCCCACCAGACTCAGGAGCCCAGCTGGCTTCACCTAGTGGATCCCACACCGGGGCTGCAGGTGGAGCTGCCTGCCAGTCCCGCGCCGTGCACTTGCACTCCTCAGCCCTAGGGTGGTCGATGGGACTGGGCTCCGTGGAGCAGGGGGCGGTGCTCGTCAGGGAGGCTCGGGCTGCACAGGAGCCCATGGAGTGGGTGGGAGGCTCAGGCATGGTGGGCTGCAGGTCCCAAGCCCTGCCCTGTGGGAAGGCAGCTAAGGCCCGGCGAGAAATTGAGCGCAGCACCGGTGGGCCGGCACTGCTGGGGGACCCAGTACACCCTCCGCAGCCGCTGGCTCAGGTGCTAAGTCCCTCATTGCCCGGGGCCAGCAGGGCTGGCCGGCTGCTCCCAGTGTGGGGCCCGCCAAGCCCATGCCCACCCAGAACTCCAGCTGGCCCGCCAGCGCCACACGCAGCCCCGGTTCCCGCTCGTGCCTCCCCCTCCACACCTCCCTGCAAGCTGAAGGAGAGGGCTCCAGCCTTGGCCAGCCCAGAAAGGGGCTCCCACAGTGCAGTGGGGGCTGAAGGGCTCCTCAAATGCCGCCAAAGTGGGAGCCCAGGCAGGGGAGGTGCCGAGAACAAGCGAGGGCTCTGAAGACTGCCAGCACGCTATCACCTCTCAACACCTACACACAAACACTCACACCTACACACACAAGCACACACATACACACACAAAATGGAACGCATATGTATACATGTACATATATATGATAAATTCTGATGTCTTGAGTCCCTCTTTATAAACTACCACATTGATTCAATAAAATATGAGCAACTGAATGGTTTGTTTCAGTAAATGGAAAGGCCAGAACACGATGTCCAAAACAATGTTTATGTTTGAATATGATTATAGAAAATCATGATTTCTTCATAATAATAATTCCAAGAGTATGTCTTGTGGAGACACAAGTATGTTTTTCATAGTCACTATTATTTATCAAATGTCACCTGAATTTAATTAATTTTTGTATTCAGAATAAAATCCCAGAGTTTAGAAAAAACATGCAATGATTTCTGTGTAGCTTTATGAGAAAATAATTGGTCATAATTTATCATTAATTCCATATGCCATTATCTTTCTCATGAGGCTCTAAAAAAATATCAGCAACTGCAGCTAATTTTGAGGACCTGCATTTTAGCCATAACGTCTAGATGCTTTAGCATTAGTAATATTCTGGAAAGTTGCAATGAGTTCACAGGGTTTATCAGAATGAAATTAGTCAAGAAAATGAGAAAAATGACTGGGATTTCAATTTGCATAGCCTAATACCTTGAACTAAGACAAAATGAAGAAAGTGAGAAAAAGAGGGGTGTCCAGGTGATAAAATAGAATCAAAATGAGGGCATGTTTTTCTGATCATGAAGTTTTACCTGAAATATCTTGAGTGAAAGCTTCATATGACTGAATGTACTTTTAATGTCATCTTCCTGATCTATAGACTTTTGAAGGAATATCTCTACTGGAAGTTGTCTGCTTCTGGAGGCTTTTTAATAGGCCTCTAGGTCAGATTTAACATGGGTCTGGATGTCCAGATTATAGGACCCTAAACACTTTTATCCTTAGAATCATGTCTTCTCTAGTGTTTTTCATAGAGCTTAAACAGATTCTTTGTGATTAAAAAATTAATCAAAATGGCTTTTTGTAGCATAGTTCTAATGCTAAGTGTGTTTCTTCCAATAAACTCATTCTCTTGGAGGGATACGTCCAATCATATCCCTCTTGGAAATACATTTTGTATTAATTGTGCACATGACTCTGCACATATATTAATTTTGTAAATACTTGACAGGATACAAATTCAATGATATGGAATCTGTCAGAGCAGGATTCAAGCCAAGAGTCACGTACCTTCTTGTAACATTTAGAAAATGAGAGTTTATGAGCATTTTGGGACAAGATCACATTAACATTTTATCTAGGAGTAAAACTTTAGCTCAAACAAAAGCTTTAATTAAAATGAAAAGTTTCTTCTTTGGTAAATGACTTTTAAAACTTTACACTTTGGTAACTGATCTTTGGTTATGCTAAGTACAAATAAGTTATTTCCAAGAAATTTTCTTTGTGATTTTCTTGAAATTTGAATAAGTATTTTGGATTAATAAAATCAGTTTGAGCAATTGGTTTTACCAGTTGGTGGAAAAACCAATAAGGGCTTCTACTTTTATACAGTAGTCATCTAGAAAGTTCTCTGTGGTTTTTAATATATCAACTAAATTATAGCCTATCATTTTAATAACCAAGATTCATTTTGAATATTGTGTTGCCCTCAAAGTCATTAATCATTTTCAGTGTTTGATTGAAGTACCCAGCGAAATTAGAGAACTCCTTTGTTATCATAGCTTGTTAGATTCATAAAAAGTCTCAGAGGAATATCTACTCTACTTGTGGTAGCTAAGCCTTAAAGCTATAGCAGGGTTGTATGCTTACACTAGACCTATCAGTTTAACCATTTGAGAAGAACTAAGCATTGGTAAAATGGCAGATTCTATAATAGATATCCAAAAATTATAGCCTATACTGTAAAATATATACCTGGATCACATTAATATTACATCAAGGTTCTGTAGAGGAACATTAGTCCCAAAAGTGCATGATTAAAGTTTCAATAGTTGGTAGACACAAATAATAGTCACCTATATTAACAAGGAAATGTAGTGTCTGAGATTTTACCCCATTTATAAGCTAATAAGTTAGTCTGTTACTGTTTCATGAATAGGGGGAAGACACAACAGTCCTGGATCAGAGACAAACATTTCATTACTCACGGCATTGCTAGCATGAGTGTCATGTTGTATCAGTCAACTTTGTCCCCCAAATCTCACAAGGATAAAGCAGAGGAATCCAAGTCAATGGTGAACATGCTATAATAAATTTGTATTGCAGCAAAGAAACACTGAGCTTGGGGGATGTACTGCTTTTACATTAAGCAGTAGACAAGTCTGCTTAACGTTCCAAAGGGAAACATTTTTTCACCTCTCAAGGTTGCTGCTAGAAATACAACCTAGAGAAATGGTATGGAAAAAGAGCATTCAGAACCTCACATTTAAATTTTTTTCCCTTTTGGCACAGGTATTTATTCTTATTTGTCTACATCTACATATCAAATTTTCTACTGTGATAAATAAACATAACATGAAATGTTACCATTTTAAGGACTTTAAGTGTATAATTCAGTGGCAAGCACACTTGCATTGTTGTGCCATCATCACCACTATCCATCTCCAGAATTTTTTTCATCTTGCAGAACTGAAACTCTGTACCCATTAACACTAATTATCAATTCCTTACTCCCCCCAGCCCCAGGCAATGACCATTTTACTTTCTGTTTCTATGAATTTGATTACTCTGAGTACTTCATGTCAGTAGAATCATAAAATATACCTCCATTTGTGTCTACCTTATTTTACTTAGTGTAAGGTCTTTCAAATTTATCTATATTGTAGCATGTGGCAGAATTTCCTTTCTTTTTAAGGGTGAATTATATTTTATTCTATGTCTATGCCGCATTTTATCTCTTTATCTGCCAATGGATATTTGGGTTGTTTCTACTTTTGGCTACTGTGAATAATGCTAATATGGATGTTGATGTACAAATATCTGTTTGAGTCCTTGCTTGCAATTAATTTTGGAGGAATCGCTGGGTCATATGGTAATTCTGTGTTTGATTCCTTGGGAAATCACCATACTCTGGTCCACAGCAACTCTATCATTTTGCATTCCCACCAGTAATCATAAAGGCCCTAGTTTCTCTACCTCTTCATCAGCATTCATTATTTTCTGTTCATTTGATATTAATTATCCTAATAGGTGTGAAGTAAGGAGACTTGCATTCTTGACATACCCAGCAAGAACCTTCAGAACTACGCAAGGCTCATGGTAGACTGCTTCCCTCAATCAGTAGCTAGATTTAGTTAATAGCAGAGTTTAAAGGTTTTCTGGGGAAGTAGCCAACAAAAGATTATATAAGCAATGATGTTGTTTTCCTAGAAGTGCCATGTGTTGTTCTATACTAATGACACTCTTGTCAAAGACCCTATACAGAGTGAGCTGAGGGAAGTCTGCTAAGACTTTATCAGCTGGGCTACCACTATACCTAAACAAAGTGAATAAACCTTAGTCACAAGGTCAAGAGAAATGTTAATGTAGGCAATGAGCTTGTGATCAATTTTTAAACCATAAAGCAAAATGTTATCTCTATGCACAAATAATGGAGAAGGTTTATTTTCATTAGAAATGCCAGCCAATGTGGACCCTACTGTCACTACCCTGGTGAAGTGTTTTGGCTGGCACTCCCCATCAGAGTCTTGTTGCCAGTGGACTGGGAACACCTTGGCTCCTCCAAGCACCTCCTGCAACAGGTGCTTAACCTGGAGGGGCCAGAGAACAAAGCTGGAGGCCTAGTACCACCTTCCAGGGTAAGAGTACACAGCCCAGGAGTGCTGAGCTGAGCTTTGGCCCCCTGAAAATTTCCAGAGATGAAACCAGTTCACTTAACTCACTTTATACCATAGTCAACCCCCAAGGGAATCAAAGAATATACAAGTGAAAATCCCCATCCAAAGGACAGCAACTTCAAACATTAAAGGAACATCAGCCCACACAGAAGAGAAAGAACCAGTACAGGAACTCTGACAGCTCAAAAAAACAGAATGTCTTCTTGCCTCCAAATGACCCAGCAGTGGTTCTTAATCAGGCTGAAATGACAGTCATGGAATTCAGCATTGGGATAGGAACAAAGATTACCAAGTTTCAGGAGTAAGTTGAAACACAAAGGAATCTAAGGAATTTATTTAAATGATGCGAGAAGTGAACGACAAAATCACCATTCTGAGAATGAAACCCATCTGATAGAGCTGAAAAACTCACTACAAGAATTGCATAATACAATCAGAAATGTTAACAGCAGAATAGACCAAGCTGAGGAAAGAATCTCAGAACTTGAAGACCAGATCTTTGAATCAACTCAATCAGGCAAAAATGAACAAAAAAGCATAAACACAACTTCAGAGAAATATGGGATTATGTAAAGAGACCAATTCTGTGGCTCATTGGCATCCCTGAAAGAGAGGAAGAGAGAGCAAGCAAGTTGGAAAACATATTTGATGATAACTGTCCATGAAAATTTCCCCAACTTTGCTAAAGAGCTCAACATTCAAATTCGGGAAATGCAAAGAACCCCTTGAGATACTACACAAGATGTCCAAGAAGTGCCCCCAAGACACATATTTATTAGATTCTCCAAGGTCAACCTGAAAGAAAAAATAATAAAGACAACTAGAGAGAAGGGGTAGGTCACTTAAAAAGGAAGCCCATCAGGCTAACAGCAGACCTTTCAGCAGGAACTATACAAGCCAGAAGAGATAGGGGGCCTATATTCAGCATTCTTAAAAAAAAGAAATTCTAATCAAGAATTTCATATCCAGCCAAAGTAAGCTTTATAATCAAAGGAGGAATAAGATCCTTTTCAGACAAACAAATGCTAAGGGAATTCACTACCATCAGACTTACCTTACAAGAGATCCTTAAGGGTGTGCTAAACATGGGAACAGAAGACTATTACCAGCAACCACAAAAACACACTTAAGTACATAGACCACCGACATAAAGCAACTATGTAATCCAGTCTGCATAACAACCAACTACCAACATGATGACAGGATCAAATCCGCACATATCAATATTAACCTTAAATGTAAAAGGGCTAAAGGCCACACTTAAAAGGCACAGAGTGGCAATTGAATAAAGCAAGACCCAATGACATGCAGTTTTCAAGAGACCCATCTCACATGCAATGACACCCATAGGCTCAAAGTAAAAGAATAAAGAAAAATCTATCAAGCAAATATAAAGCAAAAACAAGCAAGGTTGCTATTCTAATTTCAGATAAAACAGAGTTTATACCAATAACAACCAAAAAGAAGACAAAGAAAGGCATCACATAATGATAAAGAGTTCAATTCAACAAGAAGACTTAACAATCCTAAATATAAACGCACCCAATACTGAGCACTCAGATTGATAAAACAAATTCTTAGAGACCTACGAAAAAACTTAGATAACCACACAATAATAGTGGGAGACTTCAACACCTCATTGACAGTATTAAACAGATCATCAAGGCAGAAAACAAAGATATTCATGACCTGAACTCAACACTTGATCAAATGGACCTAACAGACATTTCCAGAATGCTCCACTCAACAGCAGACTATATATATTTTTTCATCTGCACATGGCCCTTACTAAAAAACTTCCCGCATGATTAACCATAAAACAATTCTCAACAAATTAAAAAAAAACCAAAATCATACCAACCACACTCTTGGACCACAGTGCAATAAAAGTAAAAATCAATATGAAGACAATATCTTAAAACCATAAAATTACATGAAAATTAAACAATCTGCTCCTGAATGACTTTTGGGTAAACAATGAAACGAAGACAGAAGTCAAGAAACTCCTTGAAACTAACGAAAACAAAGATACAATATTCCAGAATCTCTGTGAATCAGCTAAAGTAATTTTTTTTTTTTTGAGACGGAGTCTCGCTGGAGTGCAGTGGCGCCATCTCTTCTCACTGCAAGCTCCACCTCCTGGGTTCATGCCATTATCCTGCCTCAGCCTCCCGAATCGCTGGGACCACAGGCACCCGCCACCACACCCGGCTAATTTTTTTGTATTTTTGTATTCACCATGTTAGCCAGGATGGTCTCGATCTCCTGACCTTGTGATCTGCCTGCCTCGGCCTCCCAAAGTGCTGGGATTACGGGTTTGAGCCACCGCGCCTGGCCCCAGCTAAAGTAATGTTAAGAGGAAAGTTTATAGTGCTGAATGCCCACATTAAAAAGTTAGTAAGATCTCAGATTAAAACCTAACATCACACCTAGTGGAACTAGAAAAATAAGAGCAAACCAATA
The DNA here is from genome assembly GCF_000001405.40 of Homo sapiens. Lineage (NCBI taxonomy): Eukaryota > Metazoa > Chordata > Mammalia > Primates > Hominidae > Homo > Homo sapiens. Next base: position 67,318,200 of record NC_000009.12, on the reverse strand, counting down.
CCAAAGCTAGTAGAAGAAAAGAAATGAGCAAAATCAGGTCTGAAATGAATGAAATTCAGATGTGAATAAAATCATACAAAGATCAATGCAACCAACAGTTGGTTACTTGAAATAATAAATAAGATTGATAGCCCCATAGCTAGAATAATAAAGAAAAAAGGGAAAAGATTCAAATAAACACAGTCAGAAATGACAAAGAGGGCATTACCACTGACTCCACAGAAATACAAACAACTCTCAGAGACTACTGCAAACACCTGTATGCACATAAACTAGAAAACCTAAAAGAAATGGATAAATTCCTGAAATCATGCAGCCTCCCAAGATTGAGCCAGGATGAAATTGAACCCTGAAAGACCAATAACAAGGTCCAAAATTGAATCAGTGATAAAAAGTCTGCCAACCAGAAAAATCCCTGGATCAGACAAATTCACAGCCAAATTCAGGCAGATGTACAAAGAAGACTGGTACCATTCCTGCTGAAATTACTCCCAAAAATTGAGAAGGAAGAACTTCTCTCTAACTCATTTATTAGGCCAGCATCATTCTGACACTGAAACCTGGCAGAGACACAACAAAAAAAGAAAACTTCAGGCCAATATCCATGTTGAACTACAGATGCAAAAATCCTCAACAAAATTCTAGCAAATCAAGTCCAGCAGCACATCAAAAAGCTAATCTACCACAATCAAGCAGCCTTTATTTCTTGGGTACAACGCTGGTTCAACATATGCAAATCAATAAATGTGATTCATCACATAAACAGAACTGAAAACAGAAACTGTATGATCATCTCAACAGACACAGAAAAGGCTTTTGATAAAATTCAACAGTCCGTCATGTTAAAAACCCTCAACAAACTAGATATTGAAGAAACATAACTCAAAATTTAAGAGCTATCTATGACAAACCTACAGCCAACATCATACTGAACAAGCAAAAGGTGGAGGCATTTCCCTTGAGAACTGAAAGAAGACAAGGTGGCCCACTCACATCACACCTATTCTGCACAGTCCTGGAAGTCTTAGCCAAAGCAATTAAATAGGATTAATTAAATAGCATTCAAATAGGAAGACAGGAAGTCAAACTATCTCTCTTTGCAGATGATATGATTTTACACCTAGAAAAACCCATAGTCTCTGCCCAATAGCTCATTGATCTGATATACAACTTCAGCAAAATTTCAGGATACAAAATCATTCCACAAAAATCTGTAGCATTTCTACATACCAACAACATCCAAGGTGAGAGGCAAATCAAGATTGCAATCACATTTACAATACTCACACCAAAAATTACCTAGGAATACAGCTAACCAGGGAGGTGAAAGATCTCTATAACAAGAATTAAAAACGTTGCTGAAAAAAATCAGAGAGGACACAAATATGAAAACATTCCATGCTAATGGATAGGAAGAATCACCTTTGTTAGAATGGCCATACTGCCCAAGGCAATTTACAGATTAATTACTATTTCTATCAAGCTTCCAAAGGCATTCTTCAGGGAACTAGGAAAAACTATTCTAAAATTCATATGGAACCAAAAAAGAGCCCAAGGCAATCCTAAGCAGAAAGAAAAAAGCCGGGGGCATCACATTTCCCAACTTCAAATGATACTATCAAGCTAAAGTAACAAAAACAACTTGACACTGGTACAGAAACAGACACATATACCAACGTAGCAGAATAGAAAACCCAGAAATAAAGCCACACATGTAAAACTATCTGATCTTCAACAAAGTTGACAAAAGCAAGAAGTGTGGAAAAGACTCCCTATTCAATAAATTGTTCTGGGATAATTGGCTACCCATATGCAGAAGATTGAAACTGGACTCCTTCCTTACCCTATATAAAAAAATCAACTCAAGATGAATTAAAGACTTACATGTAAAACCTAAAACTATGAAAACCCCAGAAGAAAACCTAGGAACTACCATTCTGGACATAGGCCTGACAAAGATTTCATGATTAAGATGCCAAAAACCATTGTAACAAAAACAAAAATTGACAAATGGGACCTAATTAAACTAAAGAGTTTCTGAACAGAAAAAGAAACTAACATCAGAATAAACAGGCAACCTGCAGAATGAGAGAAAATATTTGCAAACTGTGAACCTAACAAAGGTCTAATACCGAGAATCTATAAGGATCTTAAACAAATGTACAAGCCAAAACCAAACAACTCCATTAAATAGTGGGCAAAAGACGTGAACAGACACTTTTCTGAAGAAGACATACACATGGCCAACAAGCATATGAAGAAAACGCTCTACATCAGTAATCATTAGAGAAATACAAAACCACGATGAGATGCCGTCTCACGTCAGTCAGAATGGCTATTACTAAAAAGTCAGAAAATAACAGATGCTGGCAAGGTCGTGCAGGAAAGGAACACTTACATACTGCTGGTGGGAATGTAAATTAGTTCAGCCACTGTAGAAAACAGTTTGACAATTTATCAAAGAACTTAAAACAGAGCTACCATTCTATCCAGCAATCCCATTACTGGGTATGTACCTCAAGAACTGTAAGTCATTCTGTCATAAAGATACACACTCATCTATGTTCACTGCAGCACTATTCACAATAGCAAAGACATGGAAACAACCTAAATGACCAACAGCAGTTGAAAACATGGTACATATACACCATGGAATACTACGCAGCCATAAAAAAGAATGAAATCATGTTCTTTGCAGCAACATGAATGCAGCTAGAGGCCATTATCCTAAGTGAATTAACACAGCAACAGAAAACCAAATACCAAATGTTATCACTTATAAGTGGAAGCTAAACATTGATTATGCATGGACACACAGCAGGGGACAAGACATAGCAGGACCTATTTGAGGGCGGAAGGTGAAAGTAGGGTGAGGATTGAGAAACTACTTATCAGGTACTATGTTTATTGCTCCAGTGATGAAATAATATGCACATCAAACCCCCATGACACACAATTTCCCCATGTATCAAACCTGCATATATACCCCCTGAACCTAAAATAAAAGTTGGAAGAATTAGAAAAAAAAAAAGGAGTGCCTAACTTGGGGGTTGTTGTAATGTTCGCTTAACAAACACACAGTCTTTTGGGCATCTAAATCACAGCACAGAGGCTCTGGGGCATGGGATCTAGTGACCTCATACAGTGGTTGAGATAATCAGAATATAGACAGTATCAAACATATCTAATTACTTTACAAATTTCTTCTTGAATAATGTGAGTAGAGCATTATCCAGTAGCTATCTGAGAAACCCCAAAGACCTTTAGATACGAACAACATTTAACAGCTTTATTCCCATAAATTCATAACTTAAATTTATAAAACAAAAACAACAACAAAAAAAAGAAGAATGGGAGACAGGAAGAAAAAGAAGAGAAGAGAAAAGAAGAAAAGAAAACAAAAGAAAAGGAAAAAGGAAGACCCAGAATTTTAGAGAAAACTAGGAATTACAGCAAAAGTTAGACATTAGTTTTGGATACCTATTATAGGTGATGATACTTTAAACAAACAAAGCAAGAGGAAGTCTTAGAAGTGAGAAACCTTTGCCATAAATGATTGAAGATCCTGACCAAAACACACAACTTATATTTGAAGACCAAAATTTTGAAATGATTTTTATAAGCTGTTAATCTTGATATAATTATATATATACATATACATGTGTGTGTGTGTATGTTAAACATACTCAAATAGGTGATAAATTTAAACTTTTTAACTCTAATTTTGAAATAATTACCTTTACTAACATATTAAATAATGGATAAATATATTATCTTTAACTTACCAACTTAATAACCTGCACACTTTTTAAATCAGACAACATATATTCATTATCAAGTGTACATATTCTCTTTTCCCTGTACATATTCCTCTTGAGGGATGATATATCCGAAATAGTGCCTCACTGTGGAAATAGTTTCTGCCTTCTGAAACACAACTTGAGGATATAACAGAATTTCCAGCAGGGAGGTATAGTTTGAAAAGATTCCAGAAACGATTCTGATACCACACTCACTGTTGCGAATCAATGACAATATGTCACTTCCATTTGAGAAATTAAATAGTAAATGATGTTTATTACTCCCTAGATTTTAATGTAAAGTTTAATAGTTCAGTTTAGTTTTATACATATTTTGTCCTAAGCAGTTTACAGATCAATATTTTTAAAAGTTTCTACTTTTTATTAATTTCATTAAAGTCCTTTTGATAAAGTTAGACTTCCTGGAACCCTTATGTTTGGCAATGAATTTCCAGATTGATTCAGGTTTATAAGGACAAATACACGTGACACTACAGAAGTGTGAGGGAGTAGGACTTACATGCCTTTTCTAGGGCCTCAGTTGATCAGAAGTGGACAGCAGCTGTTCCATCAAAAACTCAAACGGGGTTGTGGGGATTTGCAACCTCAACCTCTTTCCCAGAGCATATTAGGAGGACACAGATAAAAGGATTCAATAAACGCATTGGCAAATTAAAATGTGAAAAGTCACCACTGTGGGGTATTATTTGCTATGTAGCTAATCCCTCTGGGGACTCTCTGAGACAGCCCATGGAACGTGTCTCAGAATCTTCCTGTCCACTGATTGCTATCCTGCATTTGTTGGATGTAACCTCCAGGGACATTGTCCCCTCTTCCTGCCACACACATGTAATTCTGGGTTGTTTTTGCATGTGTCCAATCTTCTATGCAAAACTCTTCCCTGGGAAGAGTGACAAGGCAGACTCTTGAGATGGAAATCTGTCAACCTTACTAGAACTTTCTGTTGAACTCAGGAACACTGGGGAACACTGAGGCATCAATATCATATGCTTTGACATAGTTTTAATACTCTTTCCATTTTAGGTTTTTTTTTTTGTCTTAAATCTGAATGCAGTCATGTTCTTCAAGTTTTATCCTATAGAAAGAACTGCCTTCCTATGAAACCACAGGGATTAAAGACATAAAGCTGCAGATTTCATTGCGGTAGAAAACCCTACTTTCCTGCCTGTTGGCAGAACACTTATTAGGAGTTTGCAGAAGCAAAGTGCAATTATTCTCCATGATGCCAGGACCTACATTATTCATTAACGTAGAACAAAACTCAGATATATTATTAAGTGTCCCAGATTATTCATTTGTGAGCAGACTACCAATTGTCTTTCCAAATGAATTTTCTTTGTTCTCAGTACTTTTGATCATATTCAAAATCTCAAAGCTTTTAAAATTTTCAAAATGGGCTCTCAAAATAGAAAATGTGATCTAGTGAAGCTGACTGTACTTACAGTTTGTTATGAGCCGAACGCTGTGTCCCTCTAAAACTCCTAAGTTGAAACCCTAGCCACTAATATGATGGTATTTGGCGATGGGGCCTCTGACAGGTCATGAGGTTTAGGTTAGATCCTGGAAGGAGGCCCTCATGAGGAGATTAGTGTCCTTATAGGATGAGGAGCCAGAGATCTTCTTATCGCTTGCCATCCCCCACACACTCAGGGAAGGCCACGTGACGCCCAATGGGAAGGAGGCTGACCACAAGCGAGGGGCCAGGCCTGATCATGAACTAGCACCTTGATTGTAGGCTTCTCTGCCTCCAGAACTGTGAGATATAAATGTCTGTGGTTTAAGCCATCCAATCTATGCTATTTTTTCTTTTTCTTTTTCTTTTTCTTTTTTTTTTTGAGACATAGTTCTGCTCTGTCATCCAGGCTGGAGTGCAGTGGTGCGATCTCAGCTCACTGTAAGCTCCGCCTCCCAGGTTCACGCCATTCTCCTGCCTCAGCCTCCTGAGTAGCTGGGACTACAGGTGCCCGCCACCACGCCCGGCTAATTTTTTTTGTATTTTTTTTAGTAGAGACCGGGTTTCACCGTGTTAGCCAGGATGGTCTTGATCTCCTGACCTCGTGATCTGCCCGCCAGGGCCTCCAAAAGTGCTGGGATTACATGTGTGAGCCACCGCGCCCGGCCACCGCGCCCGGCCCAATCTATGCTATTTTATTACAGCAGCCTGAGCTGACTGGCTGTTATTATTGGTAGTTACTGATAGTTATCTACTTGCATGTCCAAAGGAAACAACGCAGCTACCAATTTTTTGGTGATATTCTTCAAATGCTAGCAGGAGACTTGATTGATTCTGGAATGTGTAATGAGCTTGACAGAGGTACCACTAAGAATCCTTTTATCTGTTTACAATTCACAATCCTGCGACGCCACTTGCAGAGAAAAATGCTGATCAGGGTTTCCTGGATGAGATGTTGCTTCTCAGGGTAGCCATATCATCACACTATTAGAGACTACAGACCCCTAGAACTTGGCCTTTTGATATATAGGACCAGGAGAAGGGGTTGAAGTACATGAAGGTTTTCTAAGAGCATAGGATCAATGGGTCAATTTTCATTTGAAAAGGGCTGAGAGGTCAGCTTGTAGAAAATAAAGACCAAGAGGGAGAAGCAGCAAAGAGCTACATATTAGTAGGAGGTCAGCTTAATAGCTAAGAGGGAGCAACCTCAGGGCCTTATGGCAATTAAAGATATTGAATATCAAGGAATTAGAAGGATTTAAAGAATTATGACTGAGAGTCTTCTATTGTATTCACTTTGACAGAGTTCATAATTCTTATGGACTTTTTACTTGCCTTTGTTGGCTGGGTTTCATTTTTTAAAATTGCAGTTCTACAGAGATACTTAGCCATGAGGCAAGACAATTATATTTGTGCTACTCAATTAAATTGTGTTACATCTTAATGTCAGAGTCTATTCTCTATAAATTCTACCAGTAATTTTAGATTTTATGGTCTGCTTCCTAGCATTAGGATGAACCCCTATGGCAACCCTATTCTTATCCATTGGTGCAAAATGATAACTTAATTGTATAATATATCAAAAAAGTGTTTTGTAGTATTTCACTAGTTCTTTGCTTTTGTCTCATAATTGGCTAATTGAAATTGGGATTAAATAACTTTAATTTTCACATGGCTACAGTTGTAAACAGAGTCATTTTTTCCCATAATACATCAACATTTGGCAAATAATTTCATCTCCTGGGTCTTATGCCAGAATTTTCAGAACATCCTTAAAAACTGTGAATGAAATGACTTGGCAATTGAATGCTGAATGAAAAAGAAATACTTAAAACAATTTAGTCTACTTTTAATCATTTTCATTAAAAAAACTTTGTTAATCATAAAGTAAGTTTCCCAGTTTATGCTATTAATTCTCCATTGTTTTCAGATAAAGCACTTGTAAACTGTTGAACATTTTTATGAAGTGTTATATCACAAATTGGGGCTATTGCATAAATGTTATGTTATTCTAGCCCACCTAAAATATAACTTCTTTCTGCACTCTACTCTTCTTCAAGTTGTCTTATAATATCCAAAATTTGCACCATCATTTTTTCACTCAGGAAAATACTTTTGGACAATTAAATTATATGTATTTAATACAGCATTAAATGATTTATGATATTTCTTAATATCTGAATATTTTTGCTTAACCACTGAGCTTATTCGGCATAAATTATGTCAAGCATTAAGAAAATAATAAGTTATCCTATAGAGAAATTTAATGTGTTTAGAACTATTATTATTATTATTTTTTGAGACGGAGTCTCCCTCTGTCGCCCAGGCTGGAATGCAGTGGCGCGATCTCCACTCACTGCAAGCTCCGCCTCCTGGGTTCACGCCATTCTTCTGCCTCAGCCTCCCAAGTAGCTGAGACTACAGGTGCCCACCACCACACCCGGCTAATTTTTTGTATTTTTAGTAGAGACAGGGTTTCACAGTGTTAGCCAGGATGGTCTTGATCTCCTGACCTCATGATCCACCCGCCTCGGCCTCCTAAAGTGCTGGGATTACAGGCGTGAGCCACCGTACCTGGCCGTATTTAGAATTATTTTTGTGGAATAATACTCTATAGATTCCCTTGGCTGTCATTATCCCAATAACCAAAAATAATATCTCTATCACAGGCAATAGTGCATATTGGCTAAGAGATTGGGCGCTGGAGTCAGACAAGAGCCAGACTGCCTGAGTTCAAATTCCAGCTCAGTCATTTATTAAGTGAATGTGTAACCACACAAAACCAGTCTGGTTCTTCAACTTTTATGTAAAAAAGTTATGAATAGTTTTTCAGTTGCCATGGACTCCCAGGCTGAAGTTCCCATAACCTGAACATGCCCAAATGAACCAAACTTGCAATGATGGGCGGGACTTAAGTGCTCAGCCCAAGAAGTGGGACTGGATTAAAAAGGGGACACTGCATGGCAAGATACAGGATCCAATCAAATGGAGCCCTTGTGGTACCCCATGGCAGGATTCAGTCAGATCATGCCTCCCAGCATCATCTCATCACAAGACCCAATCAGATAACACTTCATTACCCTATTCCTATAAAACCCAACTCAGCCCCCAGCTCAGGGAGACAGATTTGAGCATTTTCTCCTGTCTCTTGACAGTCAACCAGCAATACAGCTTCTCTTTTCTCAAGCCTGTGCCATGGTATTGGCCTCTATGCACATCGGGTAGCAAGCCCATTGATTGTTTGATTACAAATGACCCTAGGGAAGTTATTTAAACTAATTCTGCTTCAGTCTGTTCATTTATAAAATGGGAATATTAGGAACTCACTTCACAAAGTTGCTGTGAGGATTTACTGACTTAATCTATGCAAATCATTTAAGACAATTCCTGAGATTTTATGATTACCATATAAATATATCCAAAGACTATTATTTCCAATTATATTTGTTCCAAAGGGTAGATTTCTTCCTCTTATCTTCCACATTTCTATTAGATATTTGCCAAAAATGGAGACATATTAATGTTTTATTAATGCATGTATTTATCTATTTACTGAATGCTATTTAAATGTGGTACACCACTGTCTAGATGTTAGCAATTTAGAGAAAGTAAAATCCAGTCCCTTTCCACAAGGGGACTATCATAATGGGTATAATTTGAAGACAAGGAGGAGCCTAGTCGAAGATGGCAAATCAGAAAACTTTACTTTGGTGGTAGCAGAATTTAAAACATCCTTCATCTTAGTTGAGATGATAAATTATTAGTCTCAGCTCTTCTTTAAAATAACTATATATAATTAATAATAAGCTGAAATTAGCAGTTATATTTCAAATATTCCATATACCTTCATTTATACGAATTTCACCTCAAAACTGGGGTTTGGTGTTATTATTTTAGATTGCAAATGGCATTAAGAATCCAATGCTGTGTTAAGTATAGCATCTGCCAGATAAAAATATTAGGACAAGGCCGGGCACGTTGGCTCACGCCTGTAATCCCATCACTTTGGGAGGCCGAGGCTGGTGGATCACGAGGTCAGGAGATCGAGGCCATCCTGGCTAACATGGTGAAATCCCATCTCTACTATAAATACAAAAAATTAGCTGGGCGTGGCATCGGGCACCTGTAGTCCCAGCTACTTGGGAGGCTGAGGCAGGAGAATGGCATGAACCCGGGAGGCAGAGCTTGCAGTGAGCCAGGATCAGGCCACTGCACTCCAGCCTGGGTGACAGAACGAGACTCCGTCTCAAAAAAAAAAAAAAAAAATTAGGACAAAAGAAGTTCATTAGTCTTAAGAACTAATTCAGAATATTTATTATATATTCTACAGACTATGGACCTATTTATTAATATATTTTTATAATATAATGTAAAGTGTCCTACATAAAGCGCTCATTTTGACAAAGATATTTCTTTTCTCCACGTGTTCAATTTGCCAGACAAGCAACATACTGTGTAAGATGTAAGAAAAAGTCCCACATTTTCAAAATTATGGTAATTAAAAAAGTTATTGGATGAAAGAGTCTATCCTTTACCAAATAAAGGCAAAGACATGAAGTGTTTCTGTTAATTTCCCCATTGTCTAAATTTATAGTCTTTAATTCCTTATTTTAATAATATTATTTTATTTCTAAGTCATGTTGATTGAATAACATTCAGGTTTTAATGATTTCAATTATTTTAGAACTGACTACTCAAATATTTAAAATTAATTATTATGAATGATTAATACTAAGACTTTCAATAATCTGAATAATCACACATAGAAGGTCATTAATTATAACACAAAGAAATGTACTTCTGAGCAATATCTAAAATATTGCCTAAGACTTTAAGTTTATTTTTATTATCTTATATAATTGATGACAACTAGAATGATTTTTCTTTTTGGATTACTGGCAGGACATAGCTGTGTAGTGATCTCAGTAATGATTATATACAATAACCCTTAAAATTACCAAGCACATATGTAGAACTTCTTACATATTTTAAATTACACCTACTTACTGGGAATGACATACTTTCACCAAATCTCATAATCATATGCTAAACAAATCTCAAAGGAAATTTGGAGGGCTTCTGATTCATTATCTCTTTCTGGGTTACATTCCTCCTAAATCATGTTATTTCCTTTATTCCTGTAAAATGAGTTAATGTAATAGTGAACAACAACTTCCTGGCCAGGTAATTCTTTCTTATGTTTAGTCCAAATTCCTCCCCATAAAACATATGTACGTCTAATTTTTCCTCTGTCCATGGAAACTGAGAACAGTTGCCTAGAATAGACATTACTCTCACGAATAAGACACATTTTACTGCATGTTACAAGACATTTTTGAAAGTTTGAAATTATGAAGTCTCTACTTAGGGCTTAAGTCATTAAGGGACACAAACACTAATAAAATTATTTTCCATAAACTCTTCTCATTTTCTATCATATGTTATTTAAAGTGTTATCCAAAAAAAAAAAAAAAAAAAAAGAGAGAGAAGAAGAAGAAGCCTAACAAACGCGCCAAAGTTAAATCAGTATCTTTGCCAATTTTCTAACTGTAGAAGTTTGGAGCCTTAGGCCAGTGCTGGACCTGGCTGCTGGGTCATCCACACGCACCTGGAAGGGAACAGGAATACACTCACAGGAATACACTCTGCAGTGCACACGAGCTCCGCTTTCCGACAGTTCACTGAAGACATGCACCCGTCACATCATCACATCAGTCATCAAATTGAGACAACCATGCTGATGAAAAAGAACAATGATCTGTAGGATGGTTTTATGAAAGAGCCAGATTTGGAAGGCTAACGAAGGGTGCCTCAAGACAGTGTCTCTTAAGCTGAGATCAGAAGGAAGAGGAGGCTTTAATTAGTATAAAAGAGGTGAATGGAGCAGGGTAGGATAGAGAGTTTTAAAGAGAAAAGTCAGCAGAGCCACGTCCTTATGGTGAGAGGGAGCGGGGAACAAGGAAGACTTAAAACAAGGTACATAAAAGAACTAGAACAGGAGCACAGTCTTCTGTGTTCTTTGGCTTCATTGGCTAAGAATAGCTAAAGTGGTTACTCTGAGTTGGGGGATGTATAGATGCTCCTAATAGCCAAGAGTTTAATTGTACATTGGAAATCAGAAACTATAAAAAGATGTTGGCCGGGCGCAGTGGCTCACGCCTGTGGTCCCAGCACTTTGGGAGGCTGAGGCGGGTGGATAACGAGGTCAGGAGTTTGAGGCCAGCCTGGCCAATACAGATATCCCAGCTACTTGGGAGGCTGAGGCAGGAGAGTTGCTTGAACCTGGGAGGTGGAGATTGCAGTGAGCCAAGATCACGCCACTGCACTCCAGCCTGGGTGACAGAGCGAGACTCCATTTCAAAAAAAAAAGATGTTTATCTTCCTTACTCAGATACCATATAAAAAAGCTGGGATTTTGCTAAATTCAAAAAGAAATTACATACACCCTATATTACAAATACTAAAAACTAGTCATCAGCTAGCCATCTATTGTTGCAACATGTCTTTGAATAATATATGTGTTTTCATTATATTTCTAAATTAGGCAATTTGTTTTGTTATTTCAAATCACTGGGTTTCGTGTTTCAATTGCTTAACTAATCAACCCAGAAGATCCATTGTGGAGTCCATTTTTCACAGCAAATCTAAATTCTTTTTCCACACAACCATTCTTGTCCATCCTGATGCAATTCCTCTAGACATAATCACAGCGGAGAAGTGCAGAGCACACCCTGCCAAGGGGCATCTACTGAAGAGATACTGACAATGGCAATTTAAAGATACTTGTTATTTCCAAAGTTGAGAGAAAGAGCCTTGTAAAAATGTGTATCTCTTTGCTGTAAGGATGCTTATTTAGAATTAACTACAGTAGTTGTCTATTTATCCAGCATGTTGATTTCAAAGCCCAGTTCTTTTTATTGAACTACTTTGGAATTAAAAATTTTTATAATATTTACATATAGGATTAGGTTTCTAAGCCAATTCCATCTAACTGCTAGTAAATTTATTTTGTATATAGCACAAAGAATTGAATTCAATCCCAAATTCTCTCCAGCATACTAACCAAATTTAAATAAACATATGTGATGAGCTAGCAATGGTATTTCTGAATTTTCATATTTTTATTTTCCTTGGCTTACATTTTCCATATATCAAAGTCTCTTTTGAAAATTAAACTATATAATATAACCTCAATTTTAAAACATCAATGATAAGCTGGATTTAATCAACTCAGAACCCAGTGAGGAAAAACATGTTTTACTTGCTTTTATTTTTAATCAAACAGAAGTTGTATTTTGTTGTCATTGCAACATATCAGCGAATAAGCAATCTTGGAGAGCTAGGAGCAAGTTTAAATGTGTACATCTATGGGCAAAAGAACAGCTTAAACTACTGTGAGGCGGTCATTTTTCCTCCAGTGTTTCTTACGCCAGTGTGGAGGCAGCTGGAGACCTGGGAAAGATAGCAAAGACATCTTTCTTTCTTTTCTTTCTTTCTTTCTTTTCTTTCTTTCTTTCTTTTTTTGAGACGGAGTCTCGCTCTGTCGCCCAGGCTGGAGTGCAGTGGCGTGATCCTGGCTCACTGCAAGCTCCGCCTCCAGGGTTCACGCCATTCTCCTGCCTCAGCCTCCCGAGTAGCTGGGACTACAGGCGCCCATCACCCCGCCCGGCTAATTTTTTTTTTTTTTTTGTATTTTTAGTAGAGACGGGGTTTCACCATGTTAGCCAGGATGGTCTCGATCTCCTGACCTAGTGATCCGCTCGCCTCGGCCTCCCAAAGTGCTGGGATTACAGGTGTGACCCACCACGCCCGGCCGCAAAGACATTTTTCTTGTGACAGTTTTAAACTTGGTATATTTCAAAATAGCACAGATGTTTTTGAAACACTTGCAGTAGAAATAGTGATGTTGTATTGGTTAAAGAAAAAGGCCTATTTTTTTTTTTTTTTGAGACGGAGTCTCGCTCTGTCGCCCAGGCTGGACTGCAGTGGCGCGATCTCTGCTCACTGCAAGCTCCGCCTCCGGGGTTCACGCCATTCTCCTGCCTCAGCCTCCCGAGTAGCTGGGACTACAGGAGCCCGCCACCACGCCAGGCTGATTATTATTTTTTTTTTTTTTTTGTATTTTTAGTAGAGACAGTGTTTCACCGTGTTAGCCAGGATGGTCTCGATATCCTGACCTCGTGATCCACCTGCCTCGGCCTCCCAAAGTGGTGGGATTACAAGCTTGAGCCACCGCGCCCGGCCGAAAAAGGCCTATTTTATGTCTGTTATTTCCATCTTTATGTCCACGTGTATTCTTTGTTTAGGTCCCACTTGTAAGTGGGAACATGCAGTATTTAATTTTCTGAGTTACTTCACTTAGAATAATGGCTTTCAGCTCCATCCATGTTGCTGAAAAGGACATGATTTTATTCTTTTTATGGCTGCATAGTATTCCATAGTGTATATTTACCACAAGTTTTCTTTATCCAAGCAACACTTAGATTGATTCCATGACTTTGCTATTGTGAATAGTGCCGCAATAAACATACAAGTGTGGGCGTCTTTTTAATATAATGATTTCTTTTCCTTTGGGTAGATGCCCAGTAGTGGGACTGCTGGGTCGAATGGTAGTTCCATTTTTAGTTCTTAGAGAAATCTCCATACTGTTTTCCTTAGAGTTTTTACTAATTTATAGTTCCACCAACAGTGTATAAGAGTTCCTTTGTCTCCACATCCTTGTCAACATCTGTTGTTTATGACTTTTTAGTAATAGCCATCTTGACTAGTGTAATATGATATCTCATTTTGGTTTTGATTTGCATTTCTCCGATGATTCGTGATACTGAGCATTTTTTTAATAAAGAACTCAAACAACTCAGTAAGAAAAAAATCCCATTAAAAACTGGGCAAAGGACATGAACAGATGTTTCTCAAAAGAAGACATATAAGCATAAAATAAAAAGAAGACATATAAGACATAAAATGCTTAACATCACTAACCAATTTGGGTTTTGGTTAATTGGATTTAGTGAGGGTCTGAAGGTACAGGTAGACATGGAGAAATGTTGAATAATATCATTTAGTGCAAAAACTATTTGGAAAGAACATAAGAATTGATGAATTTTTTTGCAATAGATCTGTCTAAATTCCTTGGAAAATTACAAGTGGTGAAGATTAATACATGTGCTATTATTGTTGTTTTTCATTAACTGTTTGCTATGGAATCATTGAAGAAAGTGATAGACATGTTAGAATGACAGATTTCTTTAGAGTGGTATATACTCATATTTCTTTAGGGTGGGCAAATTAAAATCACTGATCTGATTGTGGCATATATAACTAAGGTCTTGCATCCTTTTGGACTGAAATATTCTCCTTCTAACTGAGAAGTATGTGAAGAGAGAAAGCATTCATTGCATATTCATCTGAGCAGCTTTCTAGAACTGATCCAGTCAGACTAGAAAAATTCTACCAAGCTCAAAAATCATCACACAAAAAACAACCACTTAGAGTCTCTGGAAACTGTCCTAACAGAAAATGTTTTTGAAATGGCATTATATTCTGTTGGACCTAATTAAATCCTTTTCTCTCTTCGCATAGTAAGGACCCATAGTCCCTCCCTGGTGACACTTCCTACTTCAGCTTTCTTTCCCTTGTTCTCAGTTTTAGGTGCACCCTACCTCAAGTTCTTACTGCTTCTGCTCGTGGGACTATAACAAACACTACTTCTTTTACCTCAGTAGGACATCACAGCCCATTGCTTCCATGCATCCCAGGAGCTGGGAGAGACTTGGGCCTCTTCTGTCTGCTATTTTTTTTTTAATACTGCTAATCTCAGGCTATGGTCTGAGAATCAAACAGCAAACATTTTTGCACTTCTATTTTCTAATAAACTATCTGGATTCCTCCTAAAAGTTGGAAGTGAGGTAGAGTTGACATCTAATTTCACAGCCATGTTGATACAAATGAAGCAAATCTTTACAATATTTCAATATGTATAATTCCAAGGCACAATGAGCAAGGTATAGAGTATGTCCCCTGTGTCTAGCTGTTTCTCCAGGCTTCTCCAGAATGATGGATGAAAATGTAATTGGCAAGTCAAATGTCTACTGTGGAAGCCTACAGGAAAAGGGATGTGAAATGCTTGACGTGATGAGGGATGCAGAGTGTTCAGCACTTATTTACTGAGCAGCTCATCACCTGATTGTATAGTATACAATATATGAGAATTTATAGAACAGTGAACGTATAAACACATAGAACAAATAAACATATACAACATATAAACACTGTTTTTAACATTTATTACATACATAGAACATATAAGAATTTATAGAACAATGAAAATACCACATTTTGACATTTGTATTGTACTGTGAAAGATTTATATGTATTTGTATAAAAAATAAATAAAGGTGATAATCTCTTGTGATTTCCCCAAAATACAGCATCCTTTTCATCTTTTTCCATTATGTAAATATGGTATGATAGAAATATAATATGCTGTGAAGTGATAGACATCATGACATATCAAAATGTATTATATATACACATATATATACATGTACATATTTATTGAAGTATAATTTATATACAAAATATACAAATTCCAAATATGAAATTCAGAGTTTTGACAAATGTCCACACCAATGTAACCATAGTCGATCAAGACATAGAACATTTCCATCACTCCAGAAACTTCCCTTGTGTTTCTCTGCAGTCAACTCCCATCCCACCTCAACCCAGGTAACTACTGATACAATTTCTACTGCTATATCTTAGTTTCGCTTGTTCTAGGACTTCAGAATGTACCCTATAGTGTCTAGATTTATTCATTCAACACAAGGTTTTTTAGATTCAGCCATGTTTGTTGCAGTTACCAGTAGTTTTGTCCATTTTATAGCTGAAGAGTATTTCATTATTAATACCACACAAATTGTTTGTCCATTTTCTTGTTGAAGGTCTTTTAGGCAGTTTACAGTTTGGGGATATTATAAGTAAAGATGCTATAAACGTTCTTGTGTAAGTCTTATAATGGGCATAAGTTTTCATTTCTTTTCAACCTAGGATTGGAATTGTTGGGTCATAGGTTTCATGTATGCTTAATTATATAAAACAATGTTAAACAATTTTTCCTAAGTGGTTGTAGCATTTTACATTCCAACAATAATGTATGAGAATTATAATTGCTCCATATTCTCAACAACACGTGGTACTGACAATATTTTTAATCATAACCATTTTAGTGGGAAGAATAACTCACTGTGGTTTTAATTTGCATTTCCTTAATGACAAAACGATATTGAACATTTTTGTGTGCTTTTTGTCCACTGGTGTAGCACTTTTCATCATTTTTTCTTATATTCATTATTTTCATTTTATTTTTGCTAATTATTGAGTTGTTAAGAGTTCTTTATGAACTATATTCTGAAAAAAATTTACAGCATTCAAATAAAGTGTTGCAAATATTTTCTCCCAGTCTGTAGCTTGACTCTTATTCTCTTAACAATGTATTTTAAAAGGAGAGTTGTTAATTTTAAGGTCAAATTTATCAGATTTTTATATTATATCTTGCTATTTGCTTTCTATTTGTCCCATTTGTTCTTTGTCCTCTTTCTCATCTTTTTTGTCTACTTTCAAGCATTTGAAAATTTATTCTATTTCATCGCTGCATTGTATATTATTGTGTAATATTGTAATATTATCACTGTTTTTGTTACTCTAGCATTTGCTTTAGGGATTACACCATACAGATGTTTTAACTTAAAGATAACTTGTAATAGCCAACTTTTAATAGGCATTATACAACTTTACACACAGTCTAAGAACCTTACAAACTATATTTCCATTTAGTCTCTCTAGGTTATTGTTGTCATATATTTTACTTTTACTCATGCTGCAGAACTCACATGACACTGCTATTATTTCTAAACAGCCAATTATCTTTAAAAGATATTTAAGTAATAAGGGCAGGTATTGTATATTTACTTATGGTGTTACTATTGCCAGTGCTCTTCATTTCTTTGTGTGGATCCATGTTTCTATCTGCACAAAGATATTATTCTTTATTTTCCTTCTTCCTGAAAGGCTTTTACACTGTTCTCATAGTCCAGGTTTGCTGATAATATATTACTTTTAACTTTTCTATGTCTGAAAAATATCTTTGTTTCATCCTTTCTTGAAAGACGGTTTTGCTGGGTATAGAAACCTAGGAGAGACAGTTTTCTGCTTTTGGTTGGAAGATGTTTCACTGGAAGCATGAAAGATGTTTCTCCACTGCCCTTCCCCTTGCATTGCTTCCAAAAAGAAGTCTGGTATCATCCTTGTTTTTCTTCTCTGTATAAGATTTGTCTTTTTCTCTTTACCACACTGAGTTTTGATCCATTTGCTTAGGATGTGTTGTGATATGGTTTTCTTAATAGCACCCCTACTTGGGGATGTTGAGCTGGGTCTGTGGGTTTATAGTTTGCATCAAATGTGGAAAATGCTTACCTATTAATTTTTAAAAATATTTTTTTCTATCCATCCACTCTCTTTTCTCCTTTGAGAACTCCAAATACACACAGATTAGGCAACTGAAGTTGTCCCACAGATCACCGATACTCTGATTATTCTTTGTTTTTTTTCTGTCTCTGTTTCATTTTGGATGCTTTCTACTGCTATATATATTCAAGTTTATTAATATTTTCTTCTGAAAACTCTCATCTGCCATTAATTACATCCATTGTATTTTTTAATCTCATACATTAACATTGTCATCTCTCGAAGTTTAATTTAAGCCTTTTCTTGTCACATCCTAATCTTTGAAAATACGGAATATAGTCATAATATTTTTCATTAGTAATTCTAACATCTGTGTATGTGCTGGGTCATTTTAGATTGATTTTTATCCTCATTATAGGTCCTATTTTTCTGCCTCTTCACACACTTGGTAATTTTTTATTGTATACCAGACATTGTGATTTTACCTCGTTGGGTGTTGGATTTTTTTTTGATGGAGTCTGGCTCTGTTGCCCAGGCTGGAGTGCAATGGCACAATCTCGGCCCACTGCAAACACCGCCTCCTGGGTTCACGCCATTCTCCTGCCCCAGCCTCCCGAGTAGCTGGGACTTCAGGCGCCCACCACCACGCCCGGCTAATTTTTGTATGTTTAGTAGAGATGGGGTTTCCACCTTGTTAGCAGGATGGTCTCCATCTCCCGACCTCGTGATCTGCCTGCCTCGACCTCCCAAAGTGCTGGGATTACAGGCATGAGCCACCGTGCCCGGCCTGGTGTTGGATAGTTTTATGTTACTGGAAATACATGTGAACTTTGCTCAGAGATGCCAATTAGTTATTGGAAACGGTTTGATCTTTTTTTCCAAATCTTTGAAAATTTGTTTAGTGGGGCCGCCATAGTAATACGTGGTCTAGGACTTGCCAGGACTGAGGCAAGACCCCTATGAATAGTCTACCTAATGCCCTATTAATTATGGGGATTTCTGGTATAGCCCATGGCAACCACCTCTATTCATGGTTGTATGTGAACATGCACTCTCAGTGAGAGTGATATTGTCCCCAAAATGACAGAAATTAGATTTTTTTGGGGGGATGGGAGAAGTGAAGAGAAGAAAAATATTCTTTTTGTGTAAAGCCCAGATATACATATAGTACTAAAGAGATATGCAGTGCATGTGCGATATTAAAATTTCAGGCCCGGCGCAGTGGCTTACGCCTGTGATACCAGCGCTTTAGGAGGCTGAGGTGGGCAGATCATGAGATCCAGAGATCGAGACCATCCTGGCTAACATGGTGAAACCTTGCCTCCACTAAAAATACAAAAAAAAAAAAAAAAAAAAATTAGCTGGGCGTGTTGGTTTGTGCCTGTAGTCCCAGCTACTCGGGAGGCTGAGGCAGGAGAATGGCATGAAACCTGGAGGCGGAGCTTGCAGTGAGCCAGGATCGCGCCACTGCACTCCAGCCTGAGCGACAGAGCAAGACTCCGTCTCTAAAATAAAATAAAATAAAATAAAATAAAATAAAATAAAATAAAATAAAAATTAAAAAATTCATAGAGAGGTGACTAGAAAAGATGTTTTAAAAGATTCCTTGAGGTCAATAATAATTTTTTAAAGGTTGATAAATGCCGCTGTAATTCTTTTGAGTGTTTCTTTCCCTTGCCTCAGGTAGTTTCATGCACTTTGTTACACACTGAAGGGCGACCCTCTCCAGATTTGCAAAGTTTTCTCCAATGCAGCTCTTTCCTCGCCGGTACTCTATCCTGCAATCTCTAGCCACCTTCGTGTACCTGAACTCTCAGCAACAGCTACTCCATTCAGAGACTTGCTAGGCTTCCTTAAGCTATCTATCTCCATTGTCACTGCTGTCTCAAATTCTGTCAAGTTGTAAGCTGGGATACTCACAGCAGACATCTTATGTTTCCTGTCTTTCAGGGATTACATTCCGTGCCTCATGTCCAGTGTACTGAAAACCATTGTTTCATATATTTTGTCTGGTTTGAGGTTGTTTCATGCAGGAGGGTTAGAGGGTAAATATGCTGCCTATTACTCCATCTTAGCCAGAAGTAAAATAAGAAAAAAAAATATATGTAAGTATAAACACACATACACATATATATATGTATGTATATAACACACATGAATCATATCCTAAAGATTTGGAACAAGAAGTAAATTTAGCTATCAATTATGTTTACTCACTGCAGATTAAGATGAACATTGTAGATTGGAGCATATTATGGGAGCAAGGCAACCTGTAGAATTGGTCAGGAACTAGACATCTCAGGACCTGCATTCTAACCCATTTTTGTCAGTAATTATCTGTGTAACGTTTTCTCAAAGCAGTGAAGGCCTTTGTGAATTTTGCAAAAATGGGGACAATTATATGTTTTACCTCATTGGCTTGCTTAAGGAGTTAAAATGTGATATGAGTCATACAAAGTGCTCATGCAGTCACAGAGGTTCTATTTTAAGGGCTTTCTTAAATTTTTAGGTACCATCACAAGCTAGCTAAGTTAGAAATTTTCATATCGCAAAATACAAAAGTTCATCTTATCATTTTAGACATTTTTATTCACAGAGCAAATGCAACCATGTGAACCTCACATTTTAAAATATATAACGGCACAATAAAATGCAAAAATATAATTTTAGGTCATAATCAACCTATAGGCAATAAACTATGTTATCATTTTGTAAAAAAAAATACCACAGGAAGTAGTGCTTCAGTACATTTTCCCGACGATATGATTAATCCATAATAAATTCTGCTACTACTCTTAGTAATGGCAACTTTATGTAACCTTCTTAAGGTTACATTTGCACTTAAGTATACCAACTTAAACCGTTAGTGGCTGTTCTGACAACACATCAGCAATGAACTTAGCCTGAGCTACATCCATTGGGAGTGATGTGAAGGAAGAGAAAAGCGTTGGACTCTATGATATTTAATGTCTTTACCAATAGAAAAGCTCTGTAATTCTTAGAATTCAATTTTTTAATTAAAAAATTGGTTCTCTCTTTACACATAATTGCCAAAACAGTGTTTACAAATACTTTCATCTTGCCCCAGATTGGCCAATGAGGTAGTAGGTTAAACAGCCAATTCATCATGTTTTGATTTAAAATGTGTCCATATCATTCTTCCCCAAATTCAAGTATATTTTAATAATCCATTTCTGTCACTTATATTATGGATTCAAGAATAAACTAAGCAAATGGATCATTTGTTTGCCTTCCAGTTATACATGAAGAAATTAATGTTTTATTAAAGAAAAAAGCCATCAAAATCAATTTTCCATCTGCACTCTTTTATTTGTTGCAATACTGTTTATAACAGCTAAGATTTGGAAACACCCTAAGTGTTCATCAACAGATGAATGAAGAAAATGTGGTTCACATACAAAATGGAGTACTCTTCAGCCATAAAAGAGAATGAGATCCTGTCACTTGCGACAGCATGGATGGAACTGGAGGTCATTATGTTAAGTGAAATAGGCCAGGCATAGAAAGACAAACATTGCCATGTTCTCATTTATTTGTGGGATCTAAAAACCAAAACAACGGAACTCATGGATATAGAGTAGAAGGATGGTTAGTAAAGGCTGAAAAAAGTAGTAGACAGCTGAGATAATGGTGGGGCAGAGGTGGGGATAGGTTAATGGGTACAAAAAAAGTAGAAAGAATGAGTAAAACTTACTATATGATAGCACAATAGGGTGACTATAGTCAATAAAAACTTAACTGCATATTTTAAAATACAGAGTGTAATCAGGTTGTTTGTAACACAAAGGATAAATGTTGAGGGGATGGATACCCCATTCTCCATGATGTGCTTATTTCACAGTGCATGCCTGTATCAAAACATTTCATGTACTCCATAAATATATGCACCTAGTATGTACACAAAAATTAAAAAATAAAAAAGATTTCCCATCAAATATTCTTTCAGAGAAGATGTGAACAAAGATCCAGAATTATTGATCAGTCTAGGCAAACAGAGTATCAAACAGCCTAATATGATTTTCTCCTCTGCTAAATAATACTGGGAAGGCAGGAAGGTGGGCTTCTCTATGGATTGAAGTTAAGAGAAAGAAGTGCCAGGAGTTCAGTCCACGCATGACAACTTACTAGTACTGCCTACTTGAAGAGATTAGCTCTTACAACCTTATCTTTGTCTCATCTATAAAACTGAGGGAGCAGGTTAAAAAAATCTTATATGTTAATACATGACTTATCCTACTCCATGTCTCTATTACAATGAAAGATCATACACAGTCTGGAAGAAAATGTTAAATTTACTGTGACTTTTCACAGTAATAGAGACAGAGTAACAGAGACACGGGGTAGAATATGTCACGTATCAGTACTAACTACTATCAAAGTATGTTAAGTTTATGCCGTAATAATGACTTTTAGGAAACAATGAAGATTTACAGTGACTTCCTAAGGTGAATTTGGACAAAAATATTGAGATAATACCACTCACCAGTGTCACTATTTTACAGAGATAAGCCTTCAATGTCACATGAACCACTCTATTTTTAATATTAGAATTCTGAAGTTTTTAAGCATCAGAATCTTCAGCTTTCTCAAATGAAGAATGGTAATTATATGCTATTTTCTTTTTTAATTTGAAGACAAAAGTTGGGAAATTATTATGCTTTTACTTTTATATTACAAAAGGGTGTTACTTGCAACTAGCATCTATATATCTAAATAACGTTTAGTGACTTAATTCTCTGCAACAGTAAAAAGTACTCAATTTAGATTTTAGTAAGTTGACTGTCAGATGGTTGCTCTCTGGCAGAAGTTTAAATATATATATTCATAGATATTTTTACATCTAGCAATCAGTAAATATTTATCTCTTTTTCTTGCACTTTGCATTTAATAATTTAAAAGGAAAAATTTAACAGATGATAAATATCAAACCAAAAAAGTCAACAAATCTTAATAATCTCAAAATATACAAGGGCAAAGTGATACATAAACCAATACAGAATACATTTGTCTGCACATTTTTGCATAAATTTTAAAAAGCATATAATTCTGTAATTTTAATTTTATAGAGCTTTCCCTAAAATATTTTTTATTTTATTTAAAAATGAGTTTATTTTCAAATAAGAAGATTAAGTCTAAAAATCAGTGCAAAAGATTGATGGTGATGATGTATCAATGCAATTTGATGCATCCGTTTCGCTGTCTTGCAAAAGGTGCAGTGACCAATGGGCTGTCTGTACTCTCAATACAGATGTAGTATTCTGAGAAGAGATCATTTGTTAAGAGCGGATTTAAGACAGAGAGTGTATTCATTCTTTCAAAAATAACACATATGAGAAGATGGAAATTCATTTACATAACAGTAACGCTGAATCAATATATTTTCAGCTTGCCCTGATGTGGAAGAAATATACCATCTCATTAGTCCTTGGTAGGCAGTTGGTATCTGGAATATGAAGAGCGTAGCATCATTGCTTTTATGTAATTGGTTTATTGAATCCAAATGGTGGTTCCATGCATTATCAAATAACCACTGCTTCAATATTAGTCCCTGGAACTGTCTCCATAAAGTTAATTCCAATCCTTTGCTGTCTTAGTGTGTATGTAAACCTTAATGAGACATGTTCCAGTTAACTGCACATATTCAATTTTGGGTAATCTATGGGAATTTGGCCCCATGGTCATAAACCTTTGATCAGACTGGCAGATTTAATAAACATCATGTAAATGTTAACTTAACTTGGAGTGAACAGCCTTCAGTTTACATTCCAAAAGTGATTAGATGAAAGGATAATACACAATGATATTTATGCCTAGAGCAGTTCAAAATTTAGAAAAGGAATTAGTGATCTTCAGTTAAGCTATTTTTTTTAATAAATTGAAAAGATGTTCTGTACAACATAATAGAGTCATAGGAAATCAAAAGCATATCAGTAACAACTTTTAGAAAAAGAAATGAATGATGAAAAACAGATATGACCTCTCAATATCTTGGGGAAGTAAGTTAGGATGATGTTTCATTCACGTCTTAATGATATAAATAAAGGATAACTCTGTGTAAGAAGTAGTGTTTGTATCTGGTGGTAAATTTAGTTAAAAACATAATCACAAGTTACAAAAACTGTAATTACAAATTACAAAGAAAAACAGGCAGACAATCTTGTATTGACATCCTCTTGCATCTTGTTACCTACCAATGTTCTGTTCCATTATAAAATTCAATACTAAAATTTCATAGCTAACATTCAATATTAATTTCAACATTAAAATGTATCAAAATCATTAAAAACAGTCAATTAGAAAAAGCAATACACCAAAAATAATGGTAGTGTTTCCAGGCTTCAACTGTGTTGTATTAACCATCACACAGGAGAATAAAAGGGCTGTGAATTTTAGATAGGCCACTTGGCTCTGGATTCCAGGACTATGGAAATGCCAGTGAAGGTAGTCCAAGAAGCATTTCTTGTTTTATAATATCAGCAGAGGACCAAAAAAAGGGATCCCAGATATGTTTTCAAGTAACAAAAAACATTAAAGTGCAATTTTGTCTTTTACATCTGAACAAAAGTTCTGTCATTTTTAAAAAATAAAGTAGGGCCACAGCTTTATAGTCATTTTCTCATCTAAAACCCCACAATTATTAACACAGATCAAACTGCAGTTTTGGAAGAGAGCCTTTGGACGGGGAAACTACTGAACAGTGATGAATGGCCATACCTAATTCATTGTTTGGAAATTGATGTGGAGGACTGTGTTTCACCGAGGGAGAAAGGGACCTCCCAGAGGCTCTGAGGCTGCAGATCTTCAGCCAGGTGACAGCACTGCACCTGCTGTGTGCACCCTGATGGCAACAGCAGGGAAGTCCACAGTCACGATGATAGAGACAGCCACAGCTGCCAATCAGAAGACTCACTCTTTCTGGTTTTCATGGACTGCGTTTTGCACATCGAGCTCACTGTTTAGAGCTGTCCTAGCACTCTTCTTTTTTTGAGACTTTTGACTCATTTTCTTTGCGTAACTTTCTCTGTTGATAGATGCGTATGGCTATGGCAGTGATGCAAAGCAAAATAAATATCTCCACTGCTATCACACCTAGGGAGAGAAAAGAATAAAACATCATAATTTTTTTTCTTTTTTCTTTTTAGAGAGAGGGTCTCACTCTGTCGCCCACGCTGGAGTGCAGTGGCATGATCACAGCTAACTGTAGCCTTGATCCTCCCAAGTAGCTGAGACTATAGGCCCACTCCACCGTTCAGCTTATTTTTTTTTTCTTTTTACAATTATTCTTTGTAGAGATGGGGTGTTGCTATGTTGCCCAGGCTGGTCTCGAACTCCTGGGCTAAAGTGATCCTCTCACCTTGGCCTCCCAAATTGTTGGGATTACAGGTGTGAGTTACCGTGCCTGGCCTCAATGTCAGAGTATAAATGGTGACTTTTGGTCCAATCAGAGGCTTTGCAGACATCATTGCTTTTTAAGTTTGGTTAAAATAAACCAACCACCTATTATATTATAAATTGAAAACACCAAAACTCAGAAATGCTGAGGTCAAGTAATTTTATAACATTTAACATACTTCTGACGGACTATGACTTTTGGATATGGCTGTGTTAGGCTTTTTCCCTACAGGTATATGATGATTGGGTTTTAGATAATGCTTTCAGATTTAAAAGAATAGAGACATACATGTCTCTAAGACCGCGTACATCCTTCAGTTAACAAGTGGGAAATTTTAAATCATTTTACAAGTATAGAGTGTTTGCATCATCATAGATCATTACATGTTATTGTTAGTACAATGAAATGGGTACATTTTAATGAAATTGTTTTCAAATACTTTTATGATAATACACTTTTCTTTTTTTTCTGAGACGGAGTCTTGCTCTGTCGCCCAGTCTGGAGTGCAGTGGTGCGATCTCGGCTCACTGCAAGCTCCGCCTCCCAGGTTCACGCCATTCTCCTGCCTCAGGCTCCTGAGTAGCTGGGACTACAGGCGCGCGCCACAGCGCCCGGCTAACTTTTTGCATTTTTAGTAGAGACGGGGTTTCACCGTGTTAGCTAGGATGGTCTCGATCTCCTGACCTCATGATCCGTCCGCCTCGGCCTCCCAAAGTGCTGGGATTACAGGCGTGAGCCAACGCGCCCGGCCGATAATATACTTTTCAAACGCAGTAGGGTCGCATATATGTAATCAATCCCTATTACCAAAAATATTGCAGGCATATTTATTCATTTTTTTTTTACCTGGAATGTGGATTATTTGAAAGACCTGGGCAAAATGTTTTAAAATATTGAAACCATTAGCAGTGTCCATGATTCTCGACTCTAGCTGCACACTAAGTCAGTAAATCAGAATAAATGAATGGAAGGCCTGGATACCAGTATCTTTATAAATTGTTTCAGGCTTTAATTCAGAGCCAGAGTGCTAAAGCATGAAGCCATGCCACAGAATGCTGTGTACTGAAGCAATCATATTAGTGACAAATGAAAGTAAAATCTACCCTAAAAGAAATAAATGTGTATAAAGACAAGCTTCTGAAGGTAATCAGAATATGTCACCCCCAAATATGCCTTTTTGACAAATATTTTGAAGTAAAGGCAATTAAGAAGCAGCCAATGGAGGAAGAGCTCTCTAGATCCTCCCCTCTTTTCATCTAAAGACAGGATGTAAATTATCTTTTACCGGAGACCATTCTTACCAGCTCAGGGATGTCAGCAGAAGAATGTACAAACACACGTACTCCACTAGTTTCTTCCCATATATTTATCTTCCCACGGTTTCTCGCCTTCGGACACCTAAAATTGCTTTCCATTGTCCTGTCATTTCTCCACAAATGTATTGTTGAAGATGAGCCAGACTTCTAAGCCACTGCGCTTTGAGTTTCACTGAGGTTTCTCCCACGTGCTGTGGACCGCATGCCTTAGTAAACTTGCTTGTTTTTCTCTTGTTAATCAGAGGTCTGTCCCAACTACAAAGTTAGGAATGATGAGGAGAAATTATATTTCCTCCCCCACGCTTTTACTGCCTACATCGTACATTTAAAGTACTTCACACAAATATTAATTTATATCTTCAGCCAGTCCCTATTAGAAAATGCAAATTGCCTTTGGGAAAGCCCAGGGGAAGCCTTCCACAGACTCCTTTTCATCCCCTCGTTCAGGCTAAGAATTTCTCAGCGGAAGAGAACACTGCTAAGATGTTTCCTTACGTTTACTCCGTCAATCTTGCCAGTGATATTTGACCACCAGCAATATAATACAATTCCAAAGAGCTGGTTCTATGATCAACTTGCCCATTTCCTTCTCACCAAAAGCTGGGTACTAACCCTGACATTGTGTAAACGTCTGTAGGACTTGGAAACCTAGCGTGAAAATGTTCGGCATGTTGAAATTGCTTTTGCATTGCAATGAAAAAAATCTCCTAAAAAGGCATGATTGATTTAGGATTGGATTTGATTTAAAATTGACCCCGAAAGTATACCTTTTAGATATGCATTATTGACCACAATCCCACTGGAAACTGTTTAAAACAGTTTTTGTTCATCAGGTCATGTATTTTTAATTTACACCTTACTGATTTCTAAGACAAAAAGAATTGAGATAGTGATGGAAATGTGAATATCCTCAACTGAAATTTAGTCAGAACTTTATTATGTCAAAATTGTTTCCTGTCATTTTGAAGGAAACAAACACAACTAGTTTACTCTTGTATGTGCTATGGAGAGTCTGCAGAATAAGAATACAATTAAGATTTCAATAACTCAGCCGGGCATGGTGGCTCATGCCTGTAATCCTAGCACTTTGGGAGGCCAAGGTAGGTGGATCATGAGGTCAGGAGATCGAGACCATTCTGGCTAACACGGTGAAACCCCGTCTCTACTAAAAATATAAAAAATTAGCCGTGCGTGGTGGTGGGCACCTGTATCCCCAGCTACTTGGGCGGCTGAGGCAGGAGAATGGGAGGCGGAGCTTGCAGTGAGCCAAGATGGCGCCACTGCACTCCAGCCTTTGCGACGAGCGAGACTCCGTCTCAAACAAACAAAGATTTCAATAATTCACTCATTAATTAACAAAGAAAGGTGAATGCTTATTTTTTGCACCAGCTCTAAATAAATTATATTTTAGAAAAAAAGTTTTCATTGCCAAAACATATTTTTAAGCTATGCTTAACTTCACTTTTCTTCAATTAAAAATAACCACAAAACATTCTTAGCCTATTAGATTAGTTCTTTCCAAAGTATGATTAAAAGTGAAACATACAATGGCTACTGCTGCACAACATTGTAAATGTCCTTAATGACAGGGAATTATACACTTTAAAATAACAATACACTTTAAATAATGTGTGCCTTTAAAACTTCTTAAATAATCACGCCTGTAATCCCAGCACTTTGGGAGGCCGAGGCGGGTGGATCACGAGGTCAGGAGATCGAGACCATCCTGGCTAACAGGGTGAAACCCCGCCTCTACTAAAAATACAAAAAATAGCCGGGCGTGGTGGCGGGCGCCTGTAGTTTCAGCTACTCAGGAGGCTGCGGCAGGAGAATGGCGTGAACCCGGGAAGCGGAGCTTGCAGTAAGTCGAGATTGCTTCACTGCACTCCAGCCTGGGCGACACAGCGAGACTCCGTCTCAAAAAACAAACAAACAAACAAAAACTTCTTAAATAAGTGAAACACTGTCATGGGAGTATCTAAATCATACTATTTGTCATTGAAGAAAAGTACCATAAAGTGTATGCTCTGATAATTAGCTGAGGTTTCCATTGCTTTGAACATAATTACTTCAGGTCCGTCCAACAGTTGTCATTACCGTGACAAATATCCCGCATGTCCTAGGGAATACAGCTATTTTCAAATTAATAACTTTTCATTATTAGCTTTGTAACTGTTCTTCAAAAAAAATTGTTTCAGCAGAATTCTTACATGCTGAGCACCCCCAGGGAAGCTGAAATCAGCAAATACTGCCTCAGAAAATCAACGAAGGCCGGGCATGGTGGCTCACGCCTGTGATCTCAGCACTTTGGGAGGCTGAGGCGGGCAGATCACTTGAGGCCAGGAGTTCGAAACCAGCACGGCCAATACGGAGAAACCCTGTGTCTACCAAAAACACAACAAATTAGCCAGGCATAGTGGCACACTCTTATAACCCTAACTATTCAGGAGGCTGAGGCAGGAGAATCGCTTGAACCCAGGAGGCAGAGGTTGCAGTGAGTGGAGATCTCACCACTGCACTCCAGCCTGGGTGACAGCGTGAGGCTCTTGTCTCAAATAGAAAAAAAACAAAGAACAAAAAACAAAAAACCACCACCAACCGCAATACATAGCACCCCTCTGACCTCACCATTGAGTATTGATTCTTACATATATTTCCCATTGTGCTAAGTAATGGTATCATTATCTAAAGCGATAATGACAAGCACCAGGTCATTCAGGGCCTTGTTACCTCCGATGACAGCAGAGTCTCTTCTGTCTGCATTAACCAAGGGCTCTCCCTCATCCACTGGTCCAGAACGACCTACAACAGGGAAAGGAAGAATGATGTTTAATAGCTTGATTTAATCACGCCACAATTTACACATAGCAAACTTTTGTCAATTAAAAGTGAATTAAAATAAGAACATCACAAAAATGTATTTTAAAAAAGGAAAAAAAGAAGGATGACAGAGACGGAGAAAAGAAGGCTTTTGAGAAATTCAAAAACATTTGAGAGAAGCGCAGTTTCAGGTGCGCAGGGGTGGAGGGCCACACACCTGCGCCCCCCGCGAGTCGGGGAGCCAGTTCCCGCGCCGGGGAGCCGGACGCCGCCCCCGCCGCGCAGCGGGCCATAGGGGCCACGTGGCCGCGGACGGTGACCCGGGAGGGGCCGCTGGGGCGCAGCGCCGCCTTCAGGGGAGCAGCGCAGCCGAAGCGCACCGCCGAGAGGCAGCCAGTGAAGCCACTAGTCGCCGCCCGCCTTGTGTCCGGGTCCGCGCCGGCAGCCTCTGAGGACAGAAGGGGAACACACAGTTAGGGCGCAGCGGCGGAGATGGGGGCGCAGGGACACCCCGCATCTGCAAGACAGCGACCCTCGTTCCTTCACTCCAGGAGAGGTCCCTCCGATCCCCTCGTTCCTTCACTCCAGGAGAGGTCACCCTGAATCTTTACCTGTTTGGCAACTATTTCCATTGTCAGGGTTATGAAAGGCAGGTTTTTAACAGATTTGTTCAAGTGCAGATGGCTGGCTCTCTGCAAGTAACAGAGCTTCATAGGAAAGCAGTTACATGGCATAAATTTAAGAAATCCTCTGCCATTTAATTTTTACAATATAGCATTAAAATAAAATTTTAATGGCGCTCACAGCCAATAATCCGGAGGATTACAGAAAAGCGACTCTTGGAGATGAGGGCAGAGCTCTGGAAATCCTTCATACTATAGTTGCTATTTTGTATGATGACTTTCATATTATCTTAATAAACTGTATCTTTTGTCATCAGATAATATCCCTCTTTATCTCATTTAAGATTCGATTATATTCCAATCTTAAATTCAATCTTATCTGAAAGTAGTGCTGCATTTCTTAAATTTATCAGCTGTTGCCTGCTAGTTCTTGGCATGCCCCTTCATTTTCAATATTCTAAGAGCATTTAACTGTTGTTTTTAAACCTAGTTTGACAGAATTTAGTCCATTTGTCTTTAGAGTAATAACCACTATATCTGATTTTATTTTTTATCTTACACTATTTATTTCACATTATTTCATCTTTTTTTCTTTTATTTTGCTGCTTTAATCAGTTTCCTTCTTATTTCCTGCTTTCCCTTTTATGAGTTTGAGAGCTCAACTTCCCTAGCCCTCACAATCAAAATCATGCCTTCACACTGTTATATGAAAACCAGATCCTCTTTTTCCAACTTTCCCCCATTCCCAACAGTGAGATGAGCGATTGCATGGTTCTTTCTCCCCACCCTCCCTCCCACACCACCGCGGGGTTCCCCACAACAGTTCTTCCCTAAATGAGAGGCTTGGGAAATTTTTCTTTTTCTTCTCTCACTTTTCCCTTTTTACTCTTCTTTGGTTTTACTCTAGTACATTTAGATCCTGACCAGAATGACAATTTCTCTTACATTTCTATTTTTCTATGATGTTTCCAGTTCAAGGATCTTTACATAATTTATTTTTTCCAAGAAAGAACTTTGACATGATGGACAAAGATTCTCCCTATGACCAGATGTTGGTCAGGCTACTCTAAGCTCTCTGCTCAACCAGCCTGACCTTTGGTCTTTCATCGTCCAGCTTAGCAAGAATCCTGCCAATTTGCTTTTAACCCAAATCTCCCACCCTCAATATCTGATCACTCTCAATATCTAATCACCTTTCTCATCCCTCTCACCACCCCACAGGTGATGTCTGACAACACTGGCCTGGCATCACCAGGAAACCTGGTGAGTCAGTTTAGCAAGAATTACTCTCCCATTTTGTAGTTTTCCACTCAGACACCCCACCCCAGCCACTCTGCTCCTTGGCTACGAATCCACACTTCTCCTTGTTGTATTTGAAGTTGAGCTCAGTCTCTTTCCCCAACTGCAAAGCCCCATTCCAGTAATTCCTATACCTATTGCCATAGTCCTGAATAAAGTCTGCCACACGATCTTAACAAGAGTATTTTTATCTTTTGACATGATACAAGATGGTTTTACATTAAGTAACTGTAGTTTAGAGAAGAATCACATAATTTTAGGGCAGACCTTTTTTTTTTTTTTTTTTTTTTTTTTTTTTTTTTTTTGAGATGGAGTCTCACTCTGTCCCCAGGCTGGAGTGCAGTGGTGCAATCTCGGCTCACTGCAACCTCCGCCTCCTGGGTACAAGCGATTCTCCTGCCTCAGCCTCCCAAGTAGTTGGGACTACAGGCATGCACCACCACACCCAGCTAATTTTTTTTGTGTATTTTTAGTAGAGACGGGATTTCACCATGTTGGCCAGGACGGTCTCGATCTCTTGACCTTGTGATCTGCCCACCTTGGCCTCCCAAAGTGTCAGGATTACAGGCATGAGCCACTGCGCCCGGCCAGACTTCTCTTTAAAACCCTGAATAAAAACCTTGAGCAATTGTTTAATTTGGAGCTGATGAAACAGAGTAGAACTTTCTTACATCTTTAATAAATGACTTAATTAGAAAATGGTCATATATACTTTGTTTAAGCTGGAAAATCTGAAAGAAAGGAGTTCCTTTGCCCACTCTGAAGTGTACCTGGCAATCACACCACAATCCAGGAAGAAACTCGTGATTCTGTACTCCCAGATTTTAGCCAGCACTACTATTTATTGTTTATCAGTTAACCAATATTCAGTAGAACTCAACTCTTAACTGTGGTGACATGTAGATACAGTTTCCTGTCTATTACCTTGACATGGCAACATGGTCAAAACCCTTCACTTTTGCTACTCTTAGCTGAATAGCTCTAATCAAAAATGTATGGTGACCTGTCTGCCTCCCTTTCTGGGCTTTCTCAACTTCGGGGTCCTGCACCCAGCCCCCTTCCAATTCTCTATTCTGTTCCATCAAAGCCTGCTCCCGAGTAAATTCATGTTTGCACAAATTCCTGGTCATGGCTTTTGATAACACTTTCAGGGGCATGTGTATTTTGGCAGAAGAGTCAAAAGAATGGATCTCTAATACAGAATTTGAAATATTGGCACTTGACGTTGTGGGAAAAAAAATATTTGAGATAGGGTTGTCTTCCCAGCCCATTGAAGTCATGCCAAATAGACAGATGTCTATCCTTACAAAAGGGTGCCACTTGGTTGAACTAAAGGAAAAAACGACTAGATAAGTAAGTGGACAGTCTTCTACACTGTGCAATATGGTAGACACTAGCCACATGTGACCATTGAGATTCAAATCAGGCCAGGCACGGTGGCTCATGCCTGTAATCCCAGCACTTTGGGAGGCCGAGGCGGGCGGATCATGAGGTCAGGAGATCAAGACCATCCTGGCTAACATGGTGAAACCCCGTCTCTACTAAAAATAAAAATAAAAAAAAATAAAAAATAAAAAAAATTAGCCGGGCATGGTGGTGGGTGCCTGCAGTCTCAGCTACTTGGGAGGCTGAGGCAGGAGAATGGCGTGAACCCGGGAGGCAGAGCTTGCAGTGAGCTGAGTTCACGCCACTGTACTCCAGCCTGGATGACAGAGTGAGACTCGATCTCAAAAAAAAAAAAAAAAAAAGAAACTCAAATCAATTAAAATGAAATAAAATGTAAAATTTAGTCCCTCAGTTATACTAGCCCCATTTCTAGTGCTTAAAAACTCATTTATCTCAAGTGTGTCTGGGGACTACCACATAGGACAGCACAGACTTTACACGTTTTCATCATCACAGAAAGTTCTATTGGACAGCATTAGTTTTGTTGACTTATACTTTCAAAGACCTCAAGACATCTGTGATGCCCACTGAATCCTGGTTAATGGACCAAGTTAGAACAATCTTAGAATTTTCTATCGAAGAGAATCTTGAAGATAACTTAGTGCAGCCTCCTCATTTTACCAATAAAGGACTAATTGATATAATCATTGCTCTTTCTTGGGAAAAAAACCCCACAAAATCTCCTATCTTCTTGACTTTTTATAGGGTTTTTGGGTGTTTTTATTCTATAATGTTGAAAGAGGCAATCCACCACTGGCTCTGAGTGTCTCCTCATGCTTTGCTGGGTTTGCCAAGAAGTGCAAGATGCTGACAGCACTTTACTCAGGCCACTTCTCAAGGCTATAATTGAAGCAAGCAACATTGAAGGATAAGGTCATGACCCCCTCCAGGACAAAGAATAGACTTGCTTAGTGCTTGTTACAAAATCGGTGGATTCCCCAAACTCAGTGTTCCTCTGCTACAGTGCAAACATGGCCACAGGTGCAGCCTTCATCTGCACCCGTCACTGCCCCATAAGGCTTCAGGGCCAAGGGAAAACAATGCAAATGAACTGCTGCTCACGAGGCTTGCCGTGCCGTGAGTAATAGGGTCCTTTGTCTCTGTACCAGGACAGCATCCACAAAACAGTTAAAAGCTGTTAACTTCCTAGCTCGTAAATCAGGTAAAATCAAATCCCAGACCCAACATAAAACATTTCTTCTAAATGAGACAAACACCATAGCATAGAAGTAATATAAAATACATAGGTTGATGAATTTTAAATGTTAAAACTGTATGTCTTATGTGACATCTCCTTACAAAACTCAAAAGGCAATTTCCAGAAATATTTAATTACCAAAACTATTTGGCATTCTTACATACCTAGAGCTCTATTTGAAATATAGTCCTTCAGTGGGTTTTCTTTTCTTCAGCCTAGAATGTATACCTCCTAAGGTATATAAGCTCAGCTGTATTCATATGCAACTGTTTACAGGCTAACTTTTTTTACTTTTTGGGAGCAGACAAAAAGGCATCTTCCATTTTTGCACTCTGTATTTTTGATATATATATGTAATTTTTAAGATAGTGTTTAAGGGGCCGGGCGCGGTGGCTCACACCTGTAATCCCAGCACTTTGGGAGACTGAGGCGGGTGGATCACGAGGTCAGGAATTCGAGACCAGCCTGACCAACATGATGAAGCCCCGTCTCTACTAAAAATACAAAAATTAGCCAGGCGTGGTGGTACATGCCTGTAGTCCCAGCTACTCAGGAAGCTGAGGCAGGAGAATCGTGTGAACCTGGGAGGCGGAGGTTGCAGTGAGCCGAGATTGCGCCACTGCACTCCAGCCTGGGCGACAGAGTGATACTCATCTCAAAAGTGTTTAAATACATGTGCACATGTACACACACAAAGCAAAACAGAATACCAATAATACCAAAGTATCTAAAAACAAATCTTAATTTATGATGGATCATCTTTACTGAATTATAAAGTATTTTAGGTGTTTGCATTCTTTAAAGCTACCTCTTGGATAAAATTCAAAGCTATATAGAAAATTCAAAATCTAAAAAGCTTATATTTAAATAGGTTTACTCTGAATTGATCTTGTGATAATCAATCTGAATGGTCTTCATTCACTAAGACTACTCAGAAATGGCAAAATCATATTGAGGTGCTCAGAAACAGCATCTTAATTATGATGGATTTTGGGCCATTTTTTTCTAAGGCATTGTTAGGGTGCATAATAATAAATTAGGCTGGATATGAGCATTATTTTATTAGAATTGCTCATATATTACCCTATGTACCTATTAACATGTGAGTGTAGTGAGGGTGGGTAGGTATAGTGTTTCTCTCATTCAGAGGCTTTCTCCGTGCTTAATAAACTGTTCATAGCAGATGCTCACCAAGTTTTTTTTTTTTTTTTTTTTTTTTTTTTTTGAGACAGAGTCTCGCTCTGTCATCCAGGCTGGAGTGCAGGATCTCTGCTCACTGCAAGCTCCGCCTCCTAGGTTCACGCCATTCTCCTGCCTCAGCCTCCCGAGTAGCTGGGACTACAGGCGCCCGCCACCGTGCCCGGCTAATTTTTTTTGTATTTTTAGTAGAGACAGGGTTTCACCGTGTTAGCCAGGATGGTCTGGATCTCCTGACCTCGTGATCCGCCCGCCTCGGCCTCCCAAAGTGCTGGGATTACAGGCGTAAGCCACCACGCCCAGCCGCTCACCAAATATTTTTAAATGAAGGGATGAATCAAAGATTTACAGGGACTCAAGAGAAATATATTGGTAACTTAGAACACCGTGTTTTGGGTAACTTTATTTGTAAAATTAGTGGCTTCTCTATTAGCCAACTTGTTGGTCTATTTTACTATAAGTTAAGGAAAGCACTTCCTATATAATTCCAAATTTAAAGATAAAGTTGTAGTTTTGGTATAATTACTAAATGATGTGAGAGTGGCAAAAAATGTATAGCAGAACCAATCCTAAAATACAGTTTTTCAAAGTATAAAGTGTTTTATTAATGTTTGATGATTATCTCTACCTCCAAGGACAGGCAAAATGAATATTTATAATTTTCTGAGATCAATTGCTTCTGAGTATATACTTCGTTGCTGAATTTCAATGTAGATTTTTATACCGTAAGTTACATGCCTTTGAATACACCATCCTTGAATGAAAACATTAACACCTTCAATTCCATGTTCTCCTTTATTTGGAAGGAAACAAAGATGTATATAATAAATATTATTCAACTTTTTGATCCTAATATTAAAGTATAGTTCATTTTCTTAATTGAGTTACATAAGATGGGTTTTTTTTAAAAAAGATTACTTTCCTCAGTTCCTTTATTAAATGTAAAGCTAACTGTGCTTTTACAACAGGTTATGATAGACAATATGATAGACAATTACTGTAACTTTCTACCTTGCGTAACAGATATTTATGAATATGCCTCCCCATTCCTGTTAGATACTAAAGTCAAAAAGGATGGAAACAACAGGCAAAGCAGGGCTTGAGAGAGAAATAAAACTGTATTCATCTGCTGTAATAAGATTACCAGTTTTTTCTCTTGTGTTCAACTCAAATGTAGTTTTATCATTGAATGATGGTCTCCGGAGTTGATGTTGATTAATACATACATAATCTGTGAACTTCGTGTCAGCTTTGATAACATTTCACTTTTCAAGAAGGGTTAGAAAAATACCGTGATTCATTATGCATGATTGCCAAGTGAGAGGTTAAGTGTGGAGGTATTTTTCCAGGAACGCCCTTGCACATCTCACAGGCAGCACTTACTCATGATTATATGT
Source organism: Homo sapiens (assembly GCF_000001405.40). NCBI lineage: Eukaryota > Metazoa > Chordata > Mammalia > Primates > Hominidae > Homo > Homo sapiens. The sequence continues at coordinate 67,281,751 of NC_000009.12, read as the reverse complement.
ACACTCAGGCAAGAGTACAGTTTGCACCTTGATTGTCACTCACTGTGAAATTATTATTCAAGTAAGACAAGGAGCTTCTTTCAGCATGATGAATGCTTCCAGAGTTTGTGACATGACACTTAGATTTTTTGGGAAAAAGCTCTTTCTCCTACTTACCTAAAACCTTTCCCAATATGAGAGATTTGACGGCGTTGAATTCTGTCCCTGAGGACAAGATGACTTGTTTCTTTGCGCTCTGGTTAACCTATTAGATGTCCCATGAGAAGCAAACATCAACACAAAGTACAATTTTAATGATAAGGAAGCAAAGGAAGATGAGGAAAGGAAAGATGAAAATAAATCACTTTTAAGTACCACTACAAAAGCTCAAGAAGCCACCTTCAAATAATTAATCATTTAGAAGGGGAAGCTATTTTATAAGCAATTCCTATGATGCCATCAGCTACCACCCTATCCACGATGTACCCACTTGCTGGCTTTACTCTTCTTCATAATGGAAGGATCTATAATTGGCAGAATCCATGAAAAAGATGGAACTGGCTGTTTTAAACTTAAATACGTACTCATTCTGTGGAGAAAATATGAAACATAAAACCAAGCACTGCTGTTCTCTATACAGTATATTTTCCTTCCAATGCCAATGACAATGTGTAATTTACTTCCTCTGTGGTGACTCAGGTCTATTTTCTTACTTATTCCCATTTTAATAACTATGTTGTGTGCTTTTAAACCGTGTTTTTAAGTTGCTAAAGTATTTGTTCTTTTATAATCGGAATAAGACAAGTTCCCACTGCAATATCAATGAATAGATTCCACCAGTAGTCACTATGATAAACTAGAGAACATTCCCCTATTGAGTAAAGTAAAACAAATAAAGATATTTTGATATTTTAAATAGTAAAATATTAATAATACCTTTGACGGAATTGCATTGCTAAACAAACAAAACAAAGCAATACAGAATAAACAACCACCTCCTCTCTCCCAGATCCTGGCCATATTTAGCCTCTTCTTGACTTATGGAAGAGCAGCACTGAATGGGTTGCTCTTCTATTAATATTTATTATCAAATTTTTTCATTAGATTATTTGTTCTCAAAATAATAATATTAGTTAGTTTGACTTTTGCATTTGTGGGATTACCTCTACCATGACCACGGCTTCTTCTCTGTTAATCTTCACTTGGTGAAGTTGCCCATCAGCCATGTTTTTAAAATCAAAGGTAAATGCATCAGGATTTTGATGTCTATCTAGCTTGTACCTAATCTGCAAACTTCCTAAAAAGAAAAATAAATGGCATTTAAAATTAAAGTGGTATTTTATAAAACTCTTGATACAGATTCTAGAGCACTTTTATTATTATTTACTTATAGCACTTTTGAATCTATTTAGCATCAATTTAGATGCACCCAATAGTTATCTTTCCTGGAACAGTGATTACTTAGGTGCTATTCCTGTGCCAGACTCTGAGTCCAATGATGCTATTTTAAAAGTCAAGACTAAATGTGTTGTTAATAAGCAGTCTCCCCAAAGCTTTTCATTTAAAAATGAAAAGGTTTAAATTATGCATATGAGCTCAGAACTCAGATCTAAATTCATTATGACTTTGATATTTATGAAATGATGAAACTCTATGCAATATTGTATCAACATTCAGTTCCTGTAATTATAACTTCTAATAAGGCTCATTTTAATGTATTACTGATATGTGCATAAAGATTTTTTATAGCCAGATTATTTTAAGTCTTCTGCCATAATCCAAAAATGAGGACAAGAAAGGGTTTTGTCAGGAGACAAGGTTTCCATAGTATCTACATCTTCTAATATACATACTCCTCTCCTACACAGATGTACCCTCATTATCTGTAATTCTCTTTTAGCTTATACTAAGATCCTGTTAATCGGAGATTTTTTTTTTTTTTTTTTTTTGAGGTGGAGTCTCGCTCTGTCACCCAGGCTGGAGTGCAGTGGCGCGATCTCGGCTCACTGCAAGCTCCGCCTCCTGGGTTCACGCCATTCTCCTGCCTCAGCCTCCCGAGTAGCTGGGACTACAGGTGCCCACCACCATGCCCGGCTCATTTTTTGTATTTTTAGTAGAGATGGGGTTTCACCGTGTTAGCCAGGATGGTCTCGATCTCCTGACCTCGTGATCCACCCGCCTTGGCCTCCCAAAGTGCTGGGATTATAGGCGTGAGCCACCGTGTCCAGCCTAATCAGAGATTTTGTAGATTTTTTTCTAGACATGAAATTTTTGTGCTGTGTACCTAACAAACTTAAAGCTTGGTCTTCTTGTTCAACTGTGAAAACCTTGCAACGCCCCAATTACCACTGTTTGAGAGGCTGTCATTACACTTTTCTTCTATAAAAGTGATATAACTAGTTTTTCAGCCACTGACGAGATAAAGAACAGCTGTACTTATCTGTTGCTTATAGGAATTGGCTTTTATATAGTTGCACTATAACATCCACATAAATGCTCCTCTATTTTGCTTAGAATGAGGAGGGAATGTATGTCATGTATCTAGATATCTTATTTCAAAATGAACTGCAAAACCAATTTGAGTCATCATGTACTATTAAAGTCATCCTATCAATAATAAGAAATATAACTGCATATCAACTCCGTTAAATTATCAAACATGTAATGGGAGAAAAGCATCTTAATTTAATCTTGAAATGCTAGCTTTTATAATAACCATTAAGGGAGGCACTGAAAAACCAAACCCATTGGAGGGCATACAGTTTTCTCTCATCGTTTGTAGTTTGACTGCTGAAAAGACCCATGTCATTACAGTCCTATTTTTCTAACTCAGGGTTCTCTTTTTCTTTACACAAAAGATATTCACCATTGTTGGCGAGGATAACTGAAAGGTATTCCTCATAGAAAGAGCTCACATACAGCAATAAGCTCGGAGTTCGTGTGGTTCGGAAGCTCAGTGTGATCATTTCTCTGGTCAATGTTACATCTCTGTGTAATGAAGAAACGAGAGAGCTGGAGTTTTCACTTAAAGTGTAATGTTCTTGAAAATGGTATGTCATTGAGGAGCCAGTTGCGAAATATGCGGAAATCTCTGAAATGATAAATACATTTTTGTTATGTTAACAAAATGTAAGTCCAACGGTCTTGTTTTAAGTACATTTAGAGAATGAGACCAAACCTTAAATATCCTGGGAGATAAAGTAATAGTGAAATCCTTTCCTGTTTTATTTTTTATTTTTCACTTTTTAAAGTTTTTTAAAAACTACAACTTGAAGAAAAAGTAGCAAACTCCAATATACTCATAACCCAGAATTGACTAACACTTAATAGAGATTTTAATTCTCCAAATCATCCTCATCTTATATTTACATATAACTAATTCTTCAGTATAAATGTATAATTTATAGGTGACTTATCTCATCTTTGGTTTTCAATTTTTTCCCAAATCATTAATTTTTAAACATCTTTATTCAGATATAATCCATATGCCATGTAATAGACCCAATTACAGTGTAAAATTCTATGTCTTTTAGTATATTTGCAGGCATGTGCAAACATTGCCATGATCAATTTTAGAGTATTTTCACTCCCCTCCCCCGAGCACCTTCTTATTCCCTCCTACAAAAACCTCCATAACCTCTAGCAGTCATTCTCTGTTTCTCCCCAACACCCCAGCCTAGGCAACTACTAATTTACTTTCTGTCTCTGCAGAGGTTCCTATTCGAGAGATTTCATATCAGTGGAATCATATAACGTGTGGTCTTTTCAATCTGGCCTCTTTCACTTAACATGGTATTTTCAAGGTTCATCCATCTTGTAGCGTGTGTCAGTATTTTATGCATTTTATTGAATAATATTTCATTGGATGTAAATAGTAATGGATGTGCCACATTTTGCGGATCTATTTAACAGTTGATAGACATTTGGGTTGTTTCCACTTTTTGACTATTATAAATAATGCTTCCATGAAAATTCACGTGTAAGTTTTTCTATGGATACATTTTTATTTTTCTTAGGAATATATACCTAGGAGTAAAATTGTTCAATCTTATGATAACACCAACTTTAAAATTTGGAGGAGCTGCCATATTTTTTCCAAAATAGCTATACCATTTTACATTTCAAACAGCAATCATGAGGGTTTTAATATCTCCACATCCTCACCAACATTTATTATTATCATTCTTTTAAATTACAGCTATACTTGTCTGTGTGAAGAGGTATTTCATTGTGACTTTGATTGCCTACTGGCTAATGTTGCCAACTATTTTTTCATGATTTTATTGGACATTCACACATATTTGCTGAAGAAATATTTACTTATAAGCTTTACCTATTATTTAATTAGGTTAAATTTCTTTTTCTTATTCAGTTGTTGGTTTTTTGTTTTTATTTTTGTTTTTTTGAGACAGAGTCTCACTCTGTTGCCCAGGCTGGAGTGCAGTGGCGTGATCTCTGCTCACTGCAAGCTCTGCCTCCTGGGTTCACGCCATTCTCCTGCCTCAGCCTCTCGAGTAGCTGGGACTACAGGCGCCCGCCACCACGCCCGGCTAATTTTTTGTATTTTTAGTAGAGATGGGGTTTCACTGTGTTAGCCAGGATGGTCTCGAACTCCTGACCTCGTGATCTGCCCACCTCGGCCTCCCAAAATGCTGGGATTACAGGTGTGAGCCACCACACACGGCATCTTATTCAGTTGTAAAAGCTCTTTAAATAATTTGAATACTAGACCCTTATAAGAGACATGATTTGCAATAATTTCTTCCATTCTGTGGGTTATCTTCTCTTTTGTTCTCCCATGTTTTAACAGTTTTATAGTTTTAGTTCTTACATTGAGGTCTATTTGGTACATTTTTATGTATGTGTGAGATAGAGGTCTAATTTCATTCATTTGCATGTGCATGTATACTCAGTAGTCTCAGAGACTACTTCTTCCCATTGGGTTGTCCTGGCACTCTTGTAAAATCCATTGACCATAAATGGCGAGGTATCTATCTGGACTTTCAATTTTATCCCAATGAGCTATCTGTTTAGTCTTAGGCCAGTTATATACTGCTTTACATTAAGTTTAGAAATTGGGCAGTGTGAATCTATCAAATTTCTTCTTCTTAAAGATTGTTTTGGCTATTCTGCATCATTTAAATTTTCATATGAAATCAGCTTGTCAATTTCAGGAAAGAAGCCAGCTGGGATATTGATTGAAACTGTACTGAATCTGTATATTACTTTAGAGAACACTGGTATTTTATTTATATTAATTATTCAATCCATGACATGAAATATCTCTCCATTTATTTACCTTTAAATTCTTTCAATGCTTTATAGTTTTCAGTGTGTTTTCCATTTCTTTTGTTAAATGTATTGCTATGTATGTTATTCTTTTTGATGCTACTGTAAATAAAATTGTTTTATTGGTTTTATTTTCAGATGGTTCACAGCTAATTTGTAGAAATACAATTGATTTTGTATATTGTTTTTGCATTCTGCAATTTTGTTGAACTTGGTTTTAGTTTTAATTGTTCTAAGTAGATTCTTTGGGATTTTTTTATATAAAAAATCATGTCATCCTCAAATAGAGATAGTTTTATTTCCTTTCTAATTTGGATGTTTTTCTTCTTTTTTTTTTTTTTTCATTTTCTTGCCTAATCAGTCTGGCCTGAACCTCTAGTACAATGCTGAATAGAACTAGTGAGAGTATACATTCTTGTCTCATTCTTGATCTTAGGAAAAAAAATTCAGTCTTTAAAATTAAATATAATTTTAGCTATGAGTTTTTCAAAAATACCATTTGTTAGACTGAGGAAGTTATCGTCTATAATTAGTTTACTGAATTTAAACAAAAATTCATGAAAGGATGTTGGATTTTATCAAATGACTTTTCTGCATCAGTAGAGCCTATCATGTGTTTCTGTCCTTTATTCTAAGATATAGTATATTATATTAATTGATTTTCAGCTGTTAAAACAACTTTCCATTTCTGGGATCATTTCCACTTTGTCTTGATGTATAGTCATTTTTATATGTGACTGGATTTGCTTTGGTAATACTCTGTTCAGGGTTTTCACATCTATCTACTTAAATGATATTGGTCTGTAGATTTAAAATATATATACTGGTATATCTATGTCTGGCTTTGGTATTAGGGAAATACTGACCTTACAGAATAAGTTGAAAAATGCTCCTTTCTCTTTTATTTTTTGGAAGAGTTTTGAAGAATTAATACTTCTTATTTAAATAGTTGATATATTTTTAAATAGTTGATATATTCTGATAGTTGATAGCATCAATTGTTTGAAACCATCTGGACCTGGGCTTTACTTTCTGTGGTATTTTAATATTATTAAGGCATTCCTTTTATTGTTATAGGCCAATTTATATTTTCTCCTCCTTCTTGAAACAGAAGTAGTAGTTTGTGTTAATTTTGTAGTTAGTGTCATCCTAGGAATTCGTCCATTTTATCTAAGTTATGTAATTTTTTTCAACATACAGTTGTTTATATTCTCTTGCAATCCATGTTATTTCTGTAAGGTTGGTAGTAATATCACTCTTTCATATGTCATTCTAGTAATTTGAATCATCTCTTTTATTCTTGGTCAGTTGTACTAAAGGTTTGCCAATTTTGTTAACAATTTTAAAGGACTGACTTTTGGTTTGGTTAATTTTTTCTGTCACTTTTATATTATCCATTTGAGAAATTTCTCCTGTTTTATTTATTATTTCCTGTTTCTCCTTACATTAGATTTAGTTTGCTCTTCTTTTTTCAGTGTCTTAAGGTGGCAGGTCAGGTTTTTTATTTGGGAACCATTTTTCTTTTTAAATATTGATGTTTACAGCTTTAAAATTCCCTCTAAACCCTGCTTTAGCTGTGTTACTATATGTTTTAGTAATGTTGTATTTTTGCTTTCATTTATCTCAAAACCTTTTCTAATTTCCCTTTTGATTTCGGAGTGTATAGTTTAATTTCCACATATTTGTGATATTCCACAATTTCTTTATGTTATTAATTTCATCTCATTGTGTTTTAAAAAGACCCTTCATATGATTTCAATCCTTTTAAATGTGTTGAGGCTTGATTTACAGGTAGCATGTTGTCTAACCTAGAATATGTTCCATGAACACTTGAGAAGAATATACATTCTGCTATTGTTAAGTGGTGTGTTCTACAGATGTGTGTTAGAATGATTGCGTTTTTATTTTTTTCAACTCTATTTTCTTGGTAATCTTCTGAGTAATTATTCTATCCTTTATTGAAAGTGAAGTATTGAATCCTCCAGGTTTTATTCCTGGTTTTTCTATTTCTCTTTTCAGTTCTGTCAGGTATTCTTTATGCAATTTGGGGCTATATTATTAACTGCATATAAGTTTGTAATTGTTATATCTTTTTGAGGGAATTAACTTTTTATCATTATATAAGTTTCCCTATTTCTAGTAGCACCTTTTGTTTTAGAGTTTATTTTTTCTGGTATTAGTATAGTCCCTTTGGCTCTCTAGGGTTACTCTTTGCATGGTACATGTTTTCCCTTCTTTTATTTTCAACTAAATTACCCCTTTCAATCTAAATTGTATGTCCTTAGACAGCATATAGTTAAGATTTCTTTTGTTATCCATTCTGACAATATTTGTCTTTTGATTGGATTGCTCAATCGATGAACATTTAATATTATTATTGATACAGTTAGATTTACATCTGCCATTTTCTTTTTCTTTTTCTATGTGTTTCATTTGTTTTCTTGTCACTTTCCTTCTGACTTATTATTTTGTGTTGGTGGATATTTTGGAGTGTAACATTTTAATTTCTTTCTTGATTTCACTATACTTTGGGGTAAAATATATATAATATATAATTTGCCACTTAACCATTTAAAATATGAAATTCAGTAGCATTAATTAAATTCACAATGTTGTGCAATTATCACCTCTTTTGATATCCAAAATTTTTCATCATCCCAAAATTAAACTGTATTCATTAAGCAATAACTCTCCATTGCCCCCTCATCTCAGCTGCTGGTATCCTTGAATCTACTTTGTCTCTACAAATTTGTCTATTGATATCTAGTAAACATGAAGTTATATAATATCTGCCCTCTTGGGTCTGGCTTATTTCACTTAGCATAATGTCTTCTATGTTAATTAATGTTGTATCATGTATCAGAACCTCATTCCTTTTAATGGCTGAACAATATACCATTATATGTATACACTACATTTTTTAATCAATTCATGTGTTGACGGACACTTGTATTATTTCCACTATTGTGATTAGTGCTACTATGAACATTTGTATACAAGTATCTGCTTGAGTTCTTGTTTTCAATTGTTTTGGTTATATATGTAGAAGTGGAATTGCTGGGTTCGAAGGTAATTCTATGTTTAACTATTTTGAGTTAACTCTAAATCAATTTCTACAGTGGCTGTGGCATTTACTTTCCCACCAGTAACAAAAGAGAGTTCCAATTTCTCTAGGTTCTTGCCAAAACTTGTTATTTTCTGTTTTTATTTATTTATTTATTTATTTTTATAGTCAATCTAGTAGGTTTGAAGAGGCAGCTCATTATACTTTTCGTTTGCATTTCTTTAATAACTAATGATGTCGAGTATCATCTTTCCATGTGATTATTGACTCTTTGTATATCTTTTTGGAGAAATGTCTCATCAAGTCCTTTGTCCAATTAGACTTTTTGTTGTTAAGTTGTGGAAATTATTAACATATTCTAGATAGTGAACCTCCATCAGATACATAATTTGCAAATATTTTATCACATTCTGTGGATTGTCTTTTTACTCTCTTGATAGTGTTCTTTGATACACAGAAGTTGTTAAATTTTATAAAGTCCAAATAATCTATTTTTGTTGTTGTTGTTGCCCGTGCTTTTGGGGTGATTTTTAAAAAACCACTGCCAAATCCAAGATCATGAAGATCTGCCTATATATCTTCTAAAAATTTTATAGTTTTAGCTTTTAGATTTAAAACTTTGATTCATTTTGAGTTAATTTTGGTAAGGGTCTAACTTCAATCTTTGCATGTGAACATCCACTTTTCCTACCTTTATGTTGAATAGACTGTTACTTCCCTACTGAATGATCTTGACAAAGACTATGTTAAACATCAATTGACTGTATGTATGTAGGTTTATTTCTGGCCTCTCAGCTCTATTCCATTGATTTATAGGTTTATCCTCATTCAGTACCACATTGTTTTGAATAATGTAGTTTATAGTAAGTTTTGAAGTCAAGAAGGGTGAATCCTCCAACTTTGTTCTTTTGTAAAATTGTTTTGCTTATTCTGGGCTTTTTCAAATTTTATTTAAATATTGATAGGGGCTTTTTCATTTGTATAAAAAGTGCTTTGGGGATTCTGATAAGAATTAGATTGAATCTGCTGGGGTTGTATTGTCATTTTAATAATCTCAAGTTTTCCAATTCATGAATATGGAATGTCTTTCCATCTATTTAGTTCTTTCTTTAATCTCTTTCAACAACGTTTTATAGTTTTCAATGTCTAAGTCTTTCACTTTCTCAGTTAAGTTTATTTCTAAGTTTTTTATTCTTTTTGATGATATTGCAAATGGAATTGTTTCCTTAATCTCACTTTCAGATTTTTCATTGCTAGTGTAGAGAAATACAACCAAATTTTTGGTGTTAATTTTGTATCCTGCAACTTTGCTGAATTTATTTATTTTCTCTTAACAGCTTTTATTTTCTGAAGAGTTTTCTACATATAAGATAAGGTAATCTGAGAGAGAGATAGCCTTTCTATTGAAATTTGGATGCCTTTTATTTCTTCTTCTTGCTTAATGACTTTAGCTGGAACTTCCAGTACTATGATAAATAGAGGTGGTAAAACTGGGCATACTTGTTGTGTTTCTTATTTTACGGAAGAAGCTTTCACCATTGAGTATGATGTTAGTTGCAGGTTTTTCATATATGGCCTTTATCATATTGAGAAAGTTCCCTTCTATTCCTAGTTTATTGAGTGTTTTTGTTTTTCAATCATGAAAGGTTACTGGAGTTTGTTAAATGTTTTTTTTTTCAGCAACAATTAAGATAATCATGTTTTTTTTCCCCTCTCATTCTATTAATCTTGTGTAATATGTTGACTGATTTTCATTTGTTGAACCACTCCTGAAATCCTGGGATAAATCCTACTAGTTTTTGGTATATAGGCCTTTTAATATACTTCATGACAATGTTTTATTTTCTTTAGTGATTGCTCTAAGCTTGCATTATATATATCTTATCAATAATCTGCTTCAGGTTTACACTAACTTAATACAAGTGAGATTTAGAAAAGTTATTTCTACATAGCTCTATTTCTTCTCTTTTGGAACTATTTTTATGCATACCAAACCCATTATTAGTTTATATAATTTGTTCTCTTTTTAAAAAATCTGAGAAAAGAAAAAAGATCAAATAAATATTTATAGACTTTGTCTATAAACTCTCTTATTTACCATTTCTAGTTCTCTTTCTTTGTTCCTCTGACTCATGTTACCATTTGGTGTTATTCCTTATTTCAGTACAGCCTTGCTGCCATCTGTCTCCTCTGTGCTGTTTTTTTGTAATATATTTCTATAGGCCCAACAATGAAAATATATACATTATATATTTGTATATTCTCTATTATAGTTTTATACATTGCTTTTTAAAATAGTTAAGCACTGAAAAGGGTAAGAAATATGACATTATACTTTCTTTTATAATTACCTGCACACTTACTTTTATTAGTGCTATTTGTTTTTTGTGTGTAGATTCAGATTATTGTCTGGGTTATGTCCCTTCAACCTGAAGGAACATTCTTTGTTATTTCCTCTAATGCAGGCTAATAGCAGTGAATTCTCTGCTTTTTGTAAGTAGGGATATATTTACTATCTTTTATAATTTTTAGTTTTTATGAATACCTAATAGTTGTATGTATTTATGGGGTAGAGGTAATATTTTGATACAACCAAACAATGTGTAATGATCAAATCAGGGTAACTGAGATATCCATCACCTTAAACATTTATCATTTCTTTTTGTTAGGAACATTCCAGTTCCACTCTTCTAGTTATTTTGAAATATACAATAAATTATTGTTAACTATAGTCATCCTGTGCTACTGAACATGAAAGATGGTTGTGCTGGGTGTAAGTTTCTTCATGACAATGGTTTTCTTTCATCTCTTTGAATATGTTATCTCACTGTCCTTTGGCCTCCATTCTTTCAGATTAGAAGTTAGCTGTTGATCCTGGCGTTTCCTTGTATATATGATTTTTCTCTTACTGCTTTTAAAATTTCCTTCTTGACTTTGGCTTTCAAAGTTTTTAATAAGATGTGTCTGGATATAAACTTCTTTGTGTCATCTGTATTTCACTGAGCTTCTGTATCTTAGATTAATGATTTTTATTAATTTGGGAATGTTTTCAACCATTATTTTTCAAATATTTTTTTCTGATCCTTTCTCTCTCTCCTGGTGTTTTCAATTACGTATATGTTGGTGTGCTTAGTTATGTCTGATATTTCTCTGATGATCTGTTTATTTTTTTCATTATTATTTCTCTGTATTCTTCAGGATACATAATCTCTACTGATCTTGCTTCAAGTTTGCTGATTCTTTTTTCTTTTCTCTGTTAAACTTCCCTGGCTTAACTCATTACTCTCTTGGAGTTATCAACATTCTCTTAATTGCTTACTGCCAATATCTTCATACCACTAGCTTAAACTTATCCATGCTCTGTTCCAAATAGAAATCAGTTCACTTGGGGAGGGCTACCAAGCTGTGTATTTTCATGGCCTCCCTCTACCTCTTGGTTAAATGTGCCTCACTGCTCTGAAGCTGTGGAGAGTGAGAGTGGCCTGCTCCTTTGTAGTAAAACCTCTGCTTACAAGTAGGGCACAGGGTGGGAAAGGTAACTTCTTGCCTTGCCTCTCCTGGTGGAGAAACTGTTCCTTACAAGTAAGCTGGAGTGAGGGCAATTGGGACACAGGATTTTTCCAGCTGCCACACCTGAAGACCTTATGTCCTGGAATGAGGAGTTGGTGTAGGAAGGAAACCCCAGACTTCTCAGCTGTTTCTGCGTGGACAGAGCTTCTGTCCTACAAAACTGGGGATGACAAGAAATGCTGGCACCCAATCTTGGGGTAATGCAGTATCTCTGTAGTAGGACCTGGGTAGAGAGGAAACCTTTGGCTTCTTGGCTATATCCATATAGAGTGGAGCTTCCGTCATACTGAGCTAGGGATGGGGAGGTGCAGGGAGAGGGTCTTGGCTTAAATGCCTCAAACTCTCACTGTTATTACTGATTAATAAATGTTTCTCCATTGGATGTATTTCCTTAGGACATTTTCTAAAGACTTTCAATAGTTGTTTTTTAAAATAATAATTTTTACTAGTTATGCCTGTTTCGTATGAGAGAGGGTTTACAGAGCTCCTTATGTGGCCAGCCTGGAAATGCCAGAGTACCAGGTTTTTTATTTGAATGTTACCTCCTCTTTAAAAATCGATTTGCTTTGTAGGAAGCATGAAACAGAGCTCCTGAAGTAACTAGAGAAAAGGTGATTTGAAGACCAACCCTCCTTCAAGGTCAGAATTTAGAAATGTTCTTTTATGCCAAAGATGTTTCTCAAATTTACTGTCTGGATAGAAAGGCTAATCCAAAGTGGTATCTACAGTATTCTGAGAGAGAAAAGTTGAAGGTCTTTCAGCTTCTCTTAAAACACTTTATGAAAGGTTGATATTTTAATTTTATATCAAGTTAATTCCAAAAATGTGTTTAGTACACACATACACATACACACACACCCCAAATGTATCTGTAAATAAAAAGAAAATGTTGGGTGATGATCACTGTCTTGGAATACTACTCCACTCTTTCCATTTCCATAAAATATAAAGAATTTACTGAAAATCCAGATCATTCTTATTAGATTAGGTAATCTAACTATAACATATGCCCCAGCCACTGGAGGACCATTTTCCATTTACTTACCATATAATGTCTATCCTTAAGAAAATTTTGGGTTATAAAATAACATTCAAATTGCACTTAGCAAATGTGGATTGGGAATGATTTAGAAATCAGCACTTGTGCTCATGAAGGAGTGGTTACTCCTGATGTTGGCTTGAGATATAAAAAGAGCTCTGTATTTGCACCAGAGCTATGAGATTTGTGAGCACAGAGATCTTCAGGACTAATAAAAGACATATGCAAGACCTTCTGAAAATTTAAATGACTTCTAGATAATGAATCCTCAAAATTCTTTTGAAAGTCACACAATTTATAGTGATTAAAGCCTGTTTTGCTGCTAAAAATAGTAAGTGTAACAGCCCAGAGACACTTAAACACACAATTACATTTTAGCTCTGATGAATCAATATTGTAAGAGGTTTCATAAAAGTATTACAAATATATTAAATAAGTCAGTACAGAGTACTTAATACTAAAATCAGTCCCTTTTTCCTTTTCTTTTTTTTTTCCCCCAAGACGGAGTCTCACTCTGTCGCCCAGGAGTGAGTGCAGTGGTGCGATCTCGACTCACTGCAACCTCTGCCTCCCGGGTTCAAGCAATTCTCCTGCCTCAGCCTCCCGAGTAGCTGGGATGCCCTGCTAATTTTTGTATTTTTAGTAAAGATGAGGTTTCACCATGTTGGCCAGGCTGGTCTTGAATTCCTGACCTCGTGATCCGCCTGCCTTGGCCTCCCAAAGTGCTGGGATTACAGGCATGAGCCACCACGCCCAGCCCTTTTCTTTTGAAAACATGATTGTACCTGAGCAGAAGCTGTGTGATACCCCACTGCACTCCTCTAAGAAGAGTCAAACATCATAGAGCAAAGTGTTTGAGTGATCCTGTTAATGACTGTCAATATTTAAGTATTCTTTTCCCCTTCTAGTTAGTATGTTTGTTTTATAAGAAAAGACATTTCTATAAAGGCCTTTTGAATCACTTAAAGTCACTGTCACAAGGGACAATGGGTAAGACGATTGCTCAAGCCTAGGAGTTCAAGTCCGGCCTGGGCAACAGAGAGGCTTGAATAGCAATACGTTGTCTCTAAAAATTAAAAACAAAAATAAGAATGATGCTTTACTGATGTTAAAATTAGAACAGTACAAGGACAGAGTTTTGAAAACCAAATTATTTCAAGAGGATTAGCATTGAACAGATGCTGGGGTAACCCAGAGATCTTCTAAATAAGAAACCCAGAGAGGACTGATAGCCTTAAGTTTTCAAAAACAGTCATATCCCTTCTAAATTCAATAGAGGAATTTGGTACAGAAATTATTCCATTTCAAATAATTCAATCTTATCCTCTCTTTATAATATCAAATGCCAGAAGCATTCTTCATACTATTTAAGTTTCATGTACTTTCCCTATAACCTGCTCCTTGGTCACACTTACCATTGGAGCAGAACGGTCCATCATAGGCTGAGAAGGCACAGTCACAGGTGACCCCCCTGCGTTTCTCTCTGCATCTCCCTCCATTGCGACACAAGTGTCCATAGGTGCTGCAGTGTCCTGCACACCCTGGCTCCACTCCTGGCATCACTGTGGCTCTTTCTTCAAGATCCAGGGCCACCCCGTTCAACTGCAGAGACCGAATGCATCCTAGAAAGCCTCTCTGTCTGGTGGCCGTTCCACCTACAACGGAAACACTGCAAATAGAAATGTGTTCCTTGGTATTTTATTCAGGATTTTATGTCCATGTCAAACTCAGGCCTTATGGAGAGTGGCAATAATCACAATGTGTCAAAAAATTTTGTGAACATATACAATTTTGAAAATATAACTGTTATGAGATATGCAGCTTTAAATGACATTGAATAAAACATTTATTTACATAACTTTCAAACATGGTGAGTCTGGCAAATAGTCCTTCTAAAAACATTTCCTTAACTTCAGGTAAGAAAGAATTTCACTTTAGTTCCTTTACAAAGAACAAAATACATAATATAAATCACATCAAACACTATTTTACTTTGTTTAGGAATAAGAATGTGCATTCATCAAACATTATTTTAATTTCTTTATGAATAAGAATGTGCATTATAATGGTTAGGTATGAACTTCCAAATTTTTCACAATAATAAAAATATATATGGATAAATTTGTTACTTGGATGGACTCTAAAAATAAAGTGTGAAAGGAAATGGATAAGCAAAGGAGGGGAAGTTGGAAGGGGTGACACCATACCCCAGGATCTCCTCCTCTCAGAGGGTACAGTGCTAAACAGTAATTGAATACTGCATGCATGCACATTTTGTCATGTCAAACTTGAATGCTGAAGAAACCATTTAGAGAGGTTTACAACACCTGTGTAGTGACAAACACCATTACGAAGGCGACAATTCTCAATGTTAGGAGCATGGAAATTACCTAGAGTTTCTGGAAAAATGCAGTTTTTAGCCTCCTCCCAGAGATTCCAATTCGGTGGCCTAAGGTGGGGGCCCCAAATCTGAACTATCAATCAGCTTTGTGGGTGATTCTGAAGCCAGTGCTTCATCCACCGCAATGAATGCTGATTCTAGGTGAATTTTATGCTAATTGTGTTTCTAGGCATTCCCTTAAATAATCTCCAAGATTACAAGTGAGAAAATCAAGTTCTTGGTTTGACCCCTCCGTGTAGTCCTCCTTTCCAGTAGTTTGATGGTTTCATGTCCTTTGAAAAAGCCTCACTGCAACTTAATAGAAGAGCTAACCACGCCTGAAGCTAGGTTTTAGGAAGTCATGGTATAACACCCCATCCACATCCACATACATACATGGGTTCATGTGTAACATTTAGTACCTGGAAGTTGTATCTACCCTCCCCTGTAAATTAGGTTGGATGATAATTTGTGATTTAGTCCAGTTTTAATTAGATTGCATCCTTATTCGCTTTAAAACACTTAAGAATGAACAAGTGAGAGCTTTAATCTGTGTAGCTCCTACGTTAGAATAGTTTCAAAAGCAATATGGAAAAATAAACAACAGTGATAAAACAGTAAGTAAGCAAACTAAAGGAAAGACTTCCAGAGCTATCACCTTTAAATAAATGGAGTGCAAGAACAGATGAGCCAGACCGGGTTATAAACAAGGAGCCTGTGATGAGAGAGCCCCAGAAGTGAGAACAGCAGCGAGGAAAACCGGGAGTGGGCTCCTGGAAGCCTGGCCGCGGGGGAGGTGCGCAGTGCTGCTTCCAATCAGCGGGTATCCTGCGATCTGGTTTTGAGTGGACCCTGGAGGACTTCTGTCCCAATTACAAGCTCTCTAACTCCACCGAGAAGTGAAACTGAAGGAATGGATAAAAATGTCTAATGATCTCACTAATAGTGTTGATAAAATATAGCTGTCACATATGCCAATCCTCTGCATTGTGAATGGTTCAAGTTTGGGGGTTGGCTATCCTGGGATCCCTCTCATTAGCTGGTTACTCCACTTCTCTGAGGCTTGGCTATCTCATCTGTAAACAGATGACAATACCTAAACATTGATACCTAAACACTGAGATACTGCAGGGCCCGGTGGCTCGCGCCTGTAATCCCAGCACTTTGAGAGGCTGAGGTGGGTGGATCATCAGGTCAAGAGATCACGACCATCCTGGCCAACATGGTAAAACCGTGTCTCTATTAAAAATACAAAAATTAGCCAGGCGTGGTGGCACCTGCGCCTGTAATCCCAGCTACTCAGGAGGCTGAGGCAGGAGAATCGCTTGAACCCGGCAGGTGGAGGTTTCAGTGGGCTGAGATTGCACCACTGCACTCCAGCCTGGGCGACACAGTGAGACTCTGTCTGAAAACAAAAACAAAAACAAACAAACAAACAAAAGAAATGTCAAATAAGAAGCACACAGCAAGCTCCTGGAACCTACCAGGTTATCAGCAAATAGTACCAATAAGCAGTAGTTGTTGGCAACTGTTGCTCTCAGTACATCACAGTTCTTAATTTCTTTTGGTCCCTCTCTGGACTCACACTAAATTCAGTTATAAACCACCAGCACTCACCAATGAAGAGCTGGCTGTTGAGCTGTAAACGAACGTGCCCATCAGCAGGGGCAGGCTGCATCTTCTGAGGAAGCTGATCAACTTGAAGAGACGCTCCTTTAACATTTCTCTCTGCCCTCACGTGGTGCCACTGATTGTCATTAAAGGGAGTGGGTGACTGCACCGTGACCTCACAAGGTCCATTCCCCACATCGAAGGAAAAGGTCACTTCTGTGGGAGCTAGAAATATTAGATATGAATATTGCTCAAGCAAATTCACAGAAAATTGAGTCTTGTGCAGACACAGGAAAACATGAAGGCACGCTCAGGATGGAAGGAGATAATGACGGCGATGCAGAAAAACAAGACTGTGAGTTGGGGTGGGGGCAGAATAAATCTGTATCCTGGAGGAAAACAGAACGGATTTTAACATATTTATCCTCAGAGTTCACAATTCAACCTTGTTAAGTCCTAAATAGTAGAGATATGTACCCATAGCTGGACTACCCATAGCTATGTACCCATAGCTAGAATACCAAATAGTATTTGTTTTTGAGGTTTCAGTAATTTTATTTACAAACGGCTCAAAGTCTCATCTAATTCTATAAACACTGAATGTAAATTTTGACAGTCATAAATTAAGCTTTGGGTACATAAAAAACAATATGTCTGGTCAAATATTTTTGGAATTCAGTAAACAATGTGATGAGTTTGGTTTAAAGCTCTGGCTCTGCTGTTCAGTACTCTAGGAAAGGCATGACATTTTAATGGATTATTACGTGCTTCATTGTTTTATTTTCTCTTAAAAATGATTACTGGCTGGGTGTGGCAGTTCACACCTGTAATCCCAGCACTTTGGGAACCCGAGGCAGGCGGATCACTTGAGGCCAGGAGTTGAAGACCAGCCTGGTCAACATGGCAAAACCCCACCTCTACTAAAAATACAAAAATTAGCTGGGCATGGTGGTGCGTGCCTATAGTCCCAGCTACTCAGGAGACTGAGGCAGGAGAATTGCTTGAACCCAGGAGGCTGAGGTTGCAGTGAGCCGAGATAATGCCACTGCACTCCAGCATGAGTGACACAGCAAAATGCTCTCTCCCTCTCTCAAAAACAAAAAATTACCTAAAATCATAGAAGTTTAGTGTTTTATAATGAAATAGAATCACAAAGTAAGAATGAAATACTACCATTTTGTTGAGTTAAAGCTTTTATTGCTAAATAATGGGTATCCTGTGACTTGTCCAGAGTGGCCAGCTTACCCCGCAGCTCAATCCTGATGAAGTCTGTGATCCCCAGGTTCTCCATAAACACCCCGGAGGAAACTGTGGTCTTAAAAAAGAAGCACACGTCAGCAGTGAGTTCTCCGTGGAAAGCAGGGAAATGAAGGTATGAAGTCTCAGTGTTGAAGGAAGCTGAATTCCAGAATGACTCTGTTTACAATAGAGAAAACGACAAAAGGAAAAAAAGTCATGAAACAAAAATAACAGCTACATTTGATACTTACAGGATTATGACTGCTAAATACATTAATAGAATGTATATGAGCTTTCACTGGGGGTTCTGAGCATCCATGTCATATACTGATGACATCAAGAGCTAAATAGTGATTACGCTGAGGATTGGAATTCTGTGTTCAGAGAAGGCCAAACAAAAGCGAAGCAAAAGCAATGAGACCAGTCAGGGGATCGCGCAGCAACACAGTAGGGACAGGGTCAAGTTCAGAATCACCTCAAAGATACGACCAACAGAACTTACTGAAGAACTCGGTAAGATGTGAGAAGAAGGGTGGAGTCTGAGGTGACTTTGGGGTTTTTGGTCTAACTAGGAAGGGAAATAATTCTAAAGAAGCAGGTTCGAGCAGCAGCTCAGTTTGGGACATGCTTCATTTGAGATATCTATTAGGCATCCAAGTGGAGATTTGAAGGAGGTAGTTGGATAAATGACTCCAGAAGCCAGAACACAGACTCTTGCTTTCCTTCCTGCACACACACACACACACACACACACACACACACACACACACACACACACACTGTCTTAATTCCTTTCATGGCAAGAACAATCAAGAACAAGAAGAAGCTTATTTGTTCCCTTCTGTCCAAAACCCATCACAGGACTGCACATCACATGTATTACTCAGGCCTCTTTAGTGTCCTTTATTCTGGTACAGTGTGTGAGTCTTTTCTTATCTTCTGTGTACTTTTGACTTTTTGGTATTTTTCAGTTGACTTGCAGAATGTTCCTCAACTTGGATTTGTCTGACATACTCATGATTGGATTCATGTTGTGCATTTTTGTCAAAAATACCACAGAAGGGCTGCTGTGTTCTCCTCAGTGTGTCGCAGCAGCAGGCAGCAATGCTGATCAGCCCATCACTGGTCCTGTTAGTTTCAAGTGCCTTGTAAAGTGGCATTTGTCCAGTTTCTCCAACATGAAGTTATTATTTTTCTCTTTTTTCATGTATTTTTGACACTTTAAGGTTACAGAAACACAACTTTACCCAGTTTAAAATTTTTTCATCCAATGGTTTTACAATATATTGATGGCTCCTGATTGAATTTTTATTCTGATGGCTGCCAATGGTGATTTTCTAAGCTCTGTCATTCCTTCCACATTAATTGGTTGACATGCCTCCGTCAGAAATAGCTTTTCTCGGCTAGGTGCAGTGGCTCACGCCTGTAATCCCAGCAGTTTGGGAGGCCAAGGCGGACGGATCATGAGGTCAGGAGATCCAGACCATCCTGGCTAACACGGTGAAACCCCGTCTCTACTAAAAATACAAAAAATTAGCCAGGCATGGTGGTGGGTGCCTGTAGTCCCAGCTAGTCGGGAGGCTGAGGCAGGAGAATGACGTGAACCCGGGAGGCGGAGCTTGCAGTGAGCCGAGATCGTGCCACTGCACTCCAGCCTGCGCAACAGAGCGAGACTCCATCTCAAAAACAAACAAATAAACAAACCAAGAAATAGCTTTTCTCTTGATCTTTTACTAATTTATTTGTGTATTTATGCATTTGTTTATTCACGTCACTCTTGAATTTGTATTCTATTCAATGGTTTATACTCTATAACTTATTTTGATGCTTAAGTTGTCTCAAATGTGGCAGCTCCTTTAAGCTGACACCCATGCCTTTTTCAGCTTTTTTTTTCCCCTTTGTCATGACAAAATGATCCAGGCTCATCTTAAATTTTCTCTGCCACATTTCTGGAATCAGCCATTTCTTCAAGGAGTCGTGGTTTCTTTTTTAGCAGAGAATGACAGAAAATGGTGTTTAGAAGCCCAGATCTGCAGGCTATTTACTAGGGTGTCATTGCTTCTAGCCCTCTCAGTAGTCAGCTAGGAAATATGTGTATTTGTATCTCTCTCTCTCTCTCACACACACACATACACACACGCAGTCTCTCTCTTCTATGTGTATTCTACAGTTATCTATTATGTATATTAAAATCCATGAGTTCATGTGGATACCTCCGTTTTTAACCCAGCACCACAGGGTTCATTACAGTCTTCCTCCTTCCCACATGTATAACTCTTTCCTCAGTGAGGTCACTCCTACTCTCCTTACTGTATTTACAGATTTGCTCATTCCCCAGTGTGGAACCAAGCTTCTAACCCAGTGGTCATTCCTTGACCCTATCCCTGCAGATCCCCTAGTCCCAGCTGCCCCAAAAGAAGGGAAAAGAATCAATAAGTGTTATGTTAAAGAAAACAGAGATGAAGGAAAGGAAAAGAGAAACGAAGAGGAAGCTACAAGTTTTACAGAAGATAATATTTTATTTTTCTTTCTTTCTTCATTAATCAATTTATTTATTTATTTTAGAGATGAGGTCTCACTTTGTCACCCAGGCTGGAGTGCAGTGGCATGATCATAGTTCACTGCCACCTCACATTCCTGGGCTCAAGAGATCATCTCACCTAAGCCTTCCTAGTTGCTGGGACTACAGGCCACCATGCCCAGCTAATTTTTAGTTTTTTTGTAAGAGACAAGGTCTTACCATCTTGTCCGGGCTTGTGTTGAACTCCTAGGCTCAAGCCATCCTCCCATCTCAGTCTCCCAAAAAGAGAAGGGAATATTTCAAATATCACACTTTCTCTTCTCCATACTTTCAGAAGTCTTGCTGAAAGTAAGATATAAACTGAAGGTGAATGACATATCCTGAAGAGTCTCACAAATACAGCCACATTTGGAGAGAAATGAAGGGCTGAGGTAAATTTCCAGAGAGAAAATAATCTAGAAAATGTTTCTGAGAAGTACAGAGTACCTAGAAACCAGTGTTTGATGTCAGAGTATCAATAGGCAGGGGAAAAGGCTACAAATTTCCAGGGGTTATTACTGAACTGTGGGAGGCATCTGAAGCCTGCAGATATACCCTCCATGCTTCAGTGTGATGCCTGGCACAGGACATTTAATAATTCTTGAAGATAAAACAGCACAGAGAATGGCCAGTAAATCAGATACAATTCAACAGATCCCTCCCTTGAGCTCTTAGATTATGGGAAAAAATATTGATAGGATGACCAACTCTAGTCCTGCTATTGCAGTTCAGAAGGGACAAGAAGTATGTGTCTGATTGTGAAGAGATGAATGTCGAGAAGAATTCAACTCCATTCCATATAAATGAATTAAATGTCTGGACAGACCTGCCAGACAGACCTGTAGTGTAGACTTACACTACAAGTATAAACAATGTTTCAAAAAGCACAGAAACAGTGCAAACATACTGAGAAAGAAAAAAAGAAGACAGGAAAGAAAGAAAGAAAAAGAAAGAAAAGAAAGAGAGAGAAAGAAAGAAGAGAGGGAGGGAGGGAGTGGGGAAGGAAGGAAGGAAGGAAGGAAGGAAGGAAGGAAGGAGTATAAAAGCCAGACTGAATGGGAGGGAGGAAGGGAGGGAGAGAAAGAGGGAGGGAGGGAGGGAGGAAGGAAGGAAGGAGCCATCTGAATGGGATGGAGGAAGGAAATTAAGAGAGAACACAAGGAAAGAAAAATTTCATAAGAGTTTCACACTATGGGAATAATATAAAAACCAATTCAGTAAAATAAGAGCTAAAATATGAGATAAACAGAAAAGATGATTTTTAAGGAAAAAAAAATCAAAGACCCAAACAAAATCACAGAGGTAACAGAGAAATCGGAAATATCTGGAAATGGAGAACACAGCTGATAACAAATTACTGACATTGGGAAAAGCTTAGAATAATCATATTGAATGCATAGGAGAAGGACAAAGAGATTAAAGCCATTGGAAGAAACAGAAAAAATGTATGGGGGGCAAAGGAAACAAGTCAACAGTCCTAGATGCAGAGAATCCAACAAATGAAACAAAGTATTCAAAGCATAATAAAAACCATTTTTTCTTAAAAGAGAACAGAATATTTCGGTCAAAATAAGCATATTTCATTTTAGAAAAAATTAACAGAATAATTAACGCTAAGGCATATTCTGGATAAGTTTTTGAAATTGAAGGATAACATATCTGTCAAGAGCTGTGAAGAGTCTGAGATTTCACCCTACTTGCAAGCTAACAATTTAGCTTGCCACAGATTAATGGATGCTGATAGAAAACACAAAATTTCCGGGTCAGAGTTAAAGAACTTTATTGCTCACAGCACAGCATGCAGCATGAGTGTCAGAATATTTGCATTGGTTCCCCTTATCTCCAAATTTCACAGGGCAACACAATCCATTGGCCCAGGTGGATGCTACACACACAGTGGGTAGGTTTGCATCTCAGATGAGGAGCCCCCAGACAAGGGTCCGGGACTCCTTCATCAAGCAGGAGACAAGCCGGTCCCCGCCCTCTCTGGGGAGTGAGTACGCGTCGATAGTGATGTTGTGTTCTCTTTGAACTACTTAGCTGCCTACACGATTGGCTACAGAAACTGCTTGGTATTAGGGGATGGAGACACCACACCATCTGGCACACTCGGCAAGAATGTACAGAGAGGCTCAGGCTCCTTGTTGAACCATCCCTCTCAGAAGTAGCCTCCACACATTGAGGTAGAACAGGAAATAAAAATACATTTAGTCTCAGACTTCTCCACGGCAATGTATGATGCTAGTGGGTAAGAAACACTATTACAATTTTTCTCAGGGAAAGAAGATTTTTACTAGCTTAGTTGTGGTTCCCGTGCTACCCAGTAGGTAGATCCTCTAAGAACCCTGGGCTTATAGTGCCACTGAGGTGGGGGAGCGAGGACTTGACCATGAAAGCCACCCATGAACGAAAATGCTGCAGGAAAGAGATTAATACACATTCGGTGCCATGTAATGTAAAACAGTATGTACAGAGGTCAGAAAATAGAGAGTGTCCAATAATTTCCTACCACTATAGTTGTCTGAAGAGTATAAGGGCAATGAATAAATATCCCTTAGCATTCAGAAAATAGTTCATCTCATGATTGTTCTGGAAAAAATACAATCAATTGATAATAAATCCAGCCAAGCAAGTAATAAGTTAAAACAAAGATGATTCATTTTCTATAAACTAATGCTTCAGTAAGGAAACACAGATCTTCAGTACTGACTGTGCCTTTATGGTATGTGTGTTTTCCTGATATTCACCCCAGTCCTAGTACTGCCACTATTCTCTTTCTGGCAAGAACAAGGGCATTTGTCTACCCCTTTATAACCAAAAAAAGTTATTATGAAAATAAAGCTTTTTCTTGACACTACTTACTATCTCCGCGGCAGAGCAGTGGCCCCAGTGTATAATCTGCTTCGGAATGTGGTTGGCCTGCGTCTGTCATCACAATCTGAGTGACTGGGAGGTGCTCCTTTTGGGAAAGGACTATTGTGTCACTAGTCCTAAAGAACAACAACCGAAACCATTAAAATTATTCTGATTAACATACGGGCAAAATTAACTCTGATCTCTTATCTCAATTTGAAACCAACATCATAGAGCTTAACAGAATACTTAACATTTTCAATATTTTGAGAGCACAGAGACTACCATGAATCTAAATCAGGGATGGGCAAACATTTTGTGTAAAGGACCATACAGTAAGCTATGCAGGCCATGCAGCTTCTCACAGCAACTACTTAACTCTGCCACCAAGTGTGAAAGCAGCCACAGACACAGGCATGGCTGGGTTGCAATAAAAATTTATGGATATGAAATCTGAATTTCATACAAGTTTTATATGACATGAAATATTCTTTTTATTTTTCAACCTTTTAAAAATGTAAAGAAAACATTCTTAGCTCACTGCCATGCAAAAATAGACTAGTGGTCTGGATTTCACCCAAAGCAAGAGGTTATCAATTCCTGACCCGTTTGCCAATTCCTGATCTAAATGATTACAGAGAAGGGGAAAAATCAAGAAGGTAACTTCCCTTCTAAAATTGTCTTAGAATAATATCTAAGTGATTATTCATTACAAATAAAAATAGTAACACTGGATTTAGATATTCATTTTGCAGAATATTAATTTATCATTATTTTTTAAAGTCGTTTTATGATTACTGGGTATTTCTTTCCTTGTTAACTTTGTAAATGCAAAATGAGTCCCACAGATTCAAAACCAAATACATACTACACCCTTATAAGTAATACATAGACTAATGAGTGTGAAAGTGGTCTGTGAAACACTGCTCCCAGTAGTTCAGGCAACAAACACAGGCCGGGCACAGTGGCTCATGCCTGTAATCCCAACACTTTAGAAGACTGGGGTGGGCAGATTGCTTGAGCTCTGGAGTTCGAAACCAGCCTGGGCAACATAGTGAGGCCCCGTCTCTACAAAAAATACAAAAATTAGCTGGGTGTGATGGTGCACACCTGTAGCAGCTACATGGGAGGCTGAGGTGGGAGGATACCTTGAGCCTGGGAGGTAGAGGCTGTAGTGAGCCATGTGTGCACCACTGCACTCCAGCCTGGGTGGCAAAGTGAGACCCTGTCTCAAAAAATACAAAAAACAAACAAAAAACCCCAAACACTCAGCGCTCACCTTTTGTCGAACAGACATTGTCCTGGGAATTGAGGACACAGAGTAAAAAATATATTTTAGTCTCTGCCTTCTGAAAGCACACAGCCTGTTGAATACCATGAGTATTAATTATGTGACTGGGAAAATAAATGCACACGTCTGGGTCCAATACAAAGAGACCTGGAGGATCCCCTAGGGGAACCTGGGGTCCTGGTCTTAGCTATGCCACTAATTTTGTCTCTGGCCAAAATAAAGGCATTTGTCTACTCTGCTGCAAAAGTATTTTATTATATATGTGTATGTAACTGTATATGTAATAAATATTTGGCCAATAATATTGCATATATGCATATATAATAAAATGCTTATATTTATATACTTTTGGTTATATTTTATTACATATATGTCTCAACTGCATGTATATTCTGATTTACAGACAAAACACTCTTAGTCCAGTTACGGTTAGAAACTCCACAGTATCTAGTAAATACTGTATGTTTTAAATTGCCCAGTTCTCAAACCTTCTTTTGTATGCATTTGTGGCAAAAGATCACAATAATTGATATTTCATCATTGCAACACTTATGTATTTTCAGAATAAGGCTTTCTGAATTAAAAAAAATTAAACTGGCATGTCAGAGTTGTACATATACTGGGGGCACATGTGCTATTTTGATACTAGAATACAATGCATAATGATCAAATCAGGGTAATTGGGATATCCATCACTTTGAGCAGTTATCCTCTGTGGTGGGAACATTACAATTCTCTTCTGGCTATTTTGAAATATCCAATAAATTACTGTTAACTATAATTTCTCTAGTTCTATCAAATACTAGAATTTCTTTTACTTAACTCGACTTTTGTACCCATTAATCAACTTCTTTTATAAAAGACTTTAGGTATCAAACTTTCAAACTGGAAAATATAAAACTAAAAT